>NC_000006.12:11878181-12029696 GCF_000001405.40 Homo sapiens | reverse complement strand
AAAGTTTCTATATTTTACCAGAGTTCAGTTAGTATTACTCTCAAGTAGGCAGTGATACTTTAAGATGCATATTATAATCTCTAGGGCAACCACTAAGAAAATTAATCAAAAGTATAGTAAAAACAAAAAAGAAAGAGAAATCAAAATCATACACTAAAAAATTTAACACAAAAGAAGGCAATTAAGGAAGTACAGAGGAACAAAAGTATGAAGCAAACAGAAAAGGCAAAATCACAGATATAAATTCAGTAATAATAATAAATTACATCAATGTGATGGAATAAACACCCACCCAAAAGGCAGATTGTCGGACTGGATGAAAAAGCAATCGCGGCAACACGCTGTCCACAAAAGACACACCTGCAACAGTGGCAGAGGTTCAAAGAAACAAAAAGTTCAACGTGAAAGAACAGGAACACACATGCCATGCAAACAATAACCCTAGTCTCTATAGTAATATCAAGTAAAATAGGTGTTAATGGCCAGCTTGACCTGAGACTTCTAGAACACTCTATGTAACCACAGATTTGTATGGGATTGCTTACAGCAACATTATTCACACAAGCCAAACACTGAAAACAATACAAATGTCCATCAAACGAGTGAATGAATCAATACAATCAGTGCATTTATATAAGAGAATATTATGTAGCGATAAAAGGTAAGGAAGATCCTGATACATGCTACGACACAGATTAATCTCAAACAATGAAAAAAAGCTACATGTAAAAACTATATACTGTATGATTCTACTTATTAAATGTCCAGAATAGGCAAATGTAAAGAGCCAGAAAACAGACCAGCAATTGCCTGCAGCTGACAGTGGGAGCAAGGATTGGTTGCAAATAAGCTCAAGGAAATTTTGGGGGTGACAGACATGTTCTAAAACTGGACTGTGGTAAAGGTTTCCCAACTCTATAAATTTACTAAACACACTGAATCATACACTTAAAACGGGTGAATTTTATTGCATGTAAATTATGTCTTAATAAAGCTGTAAAACAAATACAGTATACAGTAGTATAACTAAGGCAGTAAACTGGAGACTGAAAAAGGTAATCTTTCCATGAAGGAGCATATCCATCAAATACAACTTATTGCAAACCCTAGCTCTTCCAAGAAGATATTAACATGAATGCTGAATATATAACTCATCACACGTATGGCATTAATTCCATCAAAACATGATAGATCAACCTAAACTGTCAACATACAGAAGGATAAATAAAGCATTTAACCCCTTGGCTATGCAGTCATACATCTCCTTACATATGTTAACTGAGTATTTCCTTATATGCTCACTCATCAAATATTCATACAGCTGTCTAGACTTTCACGTGAAGCCATTATGGCCTTTATGTCTTCAACTATAAATTTCCTGGAAGACAGGGACAGAGGTGGTGAACTCCACAACATGTCCAACACCTCAGAGCCGGGCCACAGAAGTCCAGACGGGCTTATAAGTGACAGCCACCAAAGTGGCCCTCTGATTCCACCATACTTCATGACCACTATGGGCTCTTCCTGTCGCTGGGAAAGGAAACATGTTAACAGTTACCGATTCTCATACTATTTTGAGCCACGTGCTAACACCAGCATGGACCAAAATAAAGAGGTTAACGATCCAATTCATCTGTGGAGAATTAACATGCTTTCCAAAGTATTCCCCAAACAACTCAACAGTTATCATGAGCTCAACTGAGCCTATCCTTAAATTTAAACTTAAGCAAAATAAATTAAAACAAAACCATAACACGAAAATATCATTTACTTACTCTCATCCCACTACCCCAAAACCACCAGAAAAAAAGAATTATTAGGATATTACAGAAAGTGTTGTAGGGACTACTGAGAATTCAAACATATTGGATGTTTAAACATGTTTCCCACAACCTAAGGACAAATTATAATGCTTAATGTGCTAGCAGCAATTATCAATCACTCAGATGACCTGGTCCCATTCTCAAGACCTGGCACTCCACTCACAGGGGAAGACCTTCCTTGTAGGGCTCATTTGTCAGAAGGCGCACCTCTCAAAGACAGCTCTATTTTGCTGAATAACAGTCCTTCACAAGACGTTTCATGTACAGCATTGGAAATGGATTGCCTGCAGTAGTTTTCTACCAAGTTGAGTTAAATACAAAGGTGACTAGATGGAGACAGTACAATTTAAAAAAGGAGAGTACGCTACCTGACTCAACAGGTGGCTCCCTAACAATCTAATCCTTTTGGGTTGAGACCCATGACCTTGGTATCAGAAAATCAAGAACTAAATATTTCTGGCAAGACTAACTTGACCTCTAAGGCTTTCCCTTCATTTTAAAACCACAAGTAAGTGGACTTCTTCCCAACCAAATGTGAATTCCCTTATGCTTGGCAGGCAGCGGACCCTCACATACTAACTAAAGCAGTACCTAGGTTCCCCTAATAATAATTCATTCCTACAGCAATCCTCCACAGAAAGATAAAGCATTCTCATTTATTCCCAAACAGAAAAGGGTTTACAAATAAATGTGTTAACTCTCTATTTCCCAGGCAGGATTTGGCAAACTTTTCTGTAAAGCATTAAATAGTAAATATTTTAGGCTTCGTGACCACAAACAGCCACTCAACTCTGCCACTGTTGCATGAAAGAAGCCATGGTCAGTATGTAAATAAATGGGCATGGCTATGTTTCTATAAAACTTTATTTACAAAAACAGGTGGAGGATTGGATTTAGTCAGGATTTACTGATCCCTAGAATAACAGCCATTTACAACTAAAAAGTAAATTGCAGATCAACATCACCCCTACCAACCCCTAACCACCTTGTTCTCTAAGAAGAAACTAAAGATATTTGCTCAAAGCCATATTACTCTTTTGCTGGTTTATTCATACACATGATGATCTTCTGAAATAGGAAAAACAATAAAAAATGGCTGCCTCATTCTTTTAAACTGTTACCAGTTTCCTGGGTGTCAACAAATCATACTGACCTTGGGTGAAGGTTGTTTTTTAATGTTAACATAAAAGATACTGCCTAGCCACCGAACGATCTTCTTTAAATACTTATGACCTTATGACCCACCTGGCAGTATAAAAGACCTTGACCTGGTAATTTTATAATTACCATAAACAGAAACCAAACACATTAAATCTAATAAGTTTCCTTTCCTCTTTTCTTCCTTAGAGTTTCAAGTTCACTGGGAAATCCACTCTAACCAAGCAATCTAAACCAACAATCACTTCTGCGTAATTTTTCCCCCATTCATTCTTCTACCAAAGTCTAAAAACAACTTACTTTCTCTGCCAATATATCCTTCCTGTCTTTAAAAACCCGTCTCAAAACTCCTCCTCATTCAGGTTTTAGTTAAGAAGAAAGTTGACTCCTCCGCGAGGTATTTCCTCATTGCTTTACTCCACTCCAATTATTTTTTGCTCCACTTTCCCTTGGGGAATTCCATACTGCACATACTAGCCTGAAATTATATTTGTTCCTTTATGTTGCTCTTAGATCTTTTATTTTCCTGTGTTTGGAGACACAATGTATTAAAAACTCTAAGAGGGCAGGTACAAGATTTTTTGTCTAGGCATAGCCTACTAGCATTTTCACTGCTCCCGGAAGACAAACAGAATTCTCTATGATCCCTTAAAAATTGTTCTTTTTTTTTTTTTTGATATGGGGTTTCACTCTTGTTGCCCAGGCTGGAATGCAATGGTGTGGTCTTAGCTCACTGCAAACTCTGCTTCCCAGGCTCAAGCGATTCTCCTGCCTTAGCCTCCCAAGTGGCTGGGATTAGAGGGACCTGCCACCAAGCCCAGCTAATTTTTTTATTTTTAGTAGGGACAGGGTTTCGCCATGTTGGCCAGGCTGGTCTTGAACTCCTGACCTCAGGTGATCCACCTGCTTCGGCCTCCCAAAGTGCTGGGATTACAGGCGTGAGCCATCGAGCTTGGCCAACGATGGTTATTTGCCCTTTACCTGCAGTGTGGAAGAAGAGTGCCCATACGTCTAAAATAGCATGCTTTTTCCATATCCTACTGTACCTACCACATGAAGACAAATTATAGAATGTTATCTACTTTATTTTGCTTAGAATTTTAATGTTTTCACGTTAGTTTCCCCAGAAATATTTTCTAAGCCTTCAGGTCCGAAATTTCAACTGTTAGGCGGAGATTCCCACTTAAACACTGCCATTCTCCATTTTAAGTAAAACATCTCTACTTCCAACTATAAAATTAAGCAAATCATGTAAGCAAACGTCTTGGATGAGACAACTATTCTTTCCCTCTTAAAGAGCTTGGAAATTCCCTAGACTGTTTGTGATAGCAAATCTAACTTGGAATAATATATACATATACAACTTGAAATAGATTCTAAACAATTAAAGGCTTAAGAAAAAAAAAATCCTTCAAATTCTGACCTCCTGAATAACCTCAGCTCTGTGTGCTATGCTTAGCAAGTTAACTGGGATGGAGAGCATTTCTAAACTCTTACTAATCAGGAAAGAACTTTCTACTATCAACATCAGCAAGTATAAGCATGATGGTTAGAAGCAAAAGCACTGCAGACTCCTAGCTATGTGACCCTGGGCAAATAGCAATCTTTCTGTGCCTCATTTCCACATCTATAAAATGGGAATCATAAAAGTACCTGTCTCAGGTAGCTGTAGGAATCAAATGAGAAAACATGAAAAGCCCTCTGAACAGAGCCTAGTAGAGACCTGTGGAAAGGTTCGCCCTTTTTATCATCGTAAGACCTATATAAAACCACCTCCCTCTTGCCACTGGGCCTTCCCATCTGCAGAATGAGGAGGCTGAACTAAATGACCTCCAAGGTCCATCCTTCCTGCTGTAAAATGTGTAATTCTCTCAGAGAGGCGCACAAGAACCCAGCAACACAAGGGAGAGCCTTGGTTCACTCCTGGCGTGGCTTAACCAACCACCTTCCAAGTCCCTGTGTATCAGCCCAGTTTATTTTTCTCTTTATCTTTAAACTATCAAATACCACCCTAATTGTATATTTAACCTATTTCCATCTGGATACTATATTAAGCAGTTGTATGCTCACCCTATCTTTTTCTTCACTGGCAAATCTGAAAGAATTTGAAGATAAACCTATGTAAGCACACTTCAAAGTACAAAATAACAAGTATGCTTGGTTAAATTCATACTCTAGTCACACAGGCACACAGAAATTCTGTGGACAGAAACACATAAGGACCATAAAAATCAAGCTTTGTATTAAGTAGGTGTAACTCTTAAATCGTATGGTTCCAATTCATGCTTAGGGACTGCTATCTCATTACACAGCAGCCAACCGTTTTGTTATCACTTTCTATTTTTTCAATATGTTTGCATCACAGCACAGCCTTAGAATATTTTCTAGAACAAAATTCATCATAGAAAATTTCTAAAAACCTTTTGACAACTTCTCATTAAAATTGTAAAAAAAAAAAAAAAAAAATCAAAATCAATGCAACTGTATACCAAATGTAAGCCTAAAGCCTCATGATCAAAAAGAGCTTCTTTCTCAAAGAATGACTTGAGCACTGAGAAGAAAGGTCTCTCTTTGGTTATAAGTTTTTGTGCTATAGTGAACAATGGTTAACAGTATAACAGCATCACCTGTAATGAGCATAGTATTAATATGCAGAAGAGTACTGCAAAAATGTTTTTAAAGAGTTAAATATGTACATGAAAAAGTAAAGCACTTAATTTATTCATAAAATATTTTTCTGCATAATACAAGAATCAACTTTAGCCCAGACTTGCTCAAATTATCACCATTTTAAATGTGAAGCTTAAAAATGTTTTTCTATGATAGGAGATTTTACACAAATTATGTATTTTTCCGTTCTATGGTAAGATAAGATTGTACCTCATCAGAACATATTTTGTACAAAAATGTTCTAAAATAAAATCATTACTCTGGTTAATCATATTACTACATTTTGTATTTGCTTTTAAAAAGAAGCATTTGGCTAACGTTAATAAGCATTCAGAAAGCATCAAATAAGCTCTCAACATGAGCCGAAAAATAATTATCTGCAAAAAAAAAGGAGGCTTGCTATGTTAACTCCATTTTCATATTTTTATCCTCCTCAAACTAAGCACTGTCAGCTATCTACATGATCGCTCCTAGTAACTTTTTCACCCATATTAACAAAAACTATTTTTTAAATTATTACTTATTTCCTTTCTAGCTACAATATAGAGAATTTCTTTTGTTTTTGTTTTTGAAATAAGCCATGGGGTTGTTTCCACTACAAGATTTTTGATTTCTCAAATCTTAAGGCTGTCAGCATGGAACTGCTGACCTAACATTCAAATGTGAAAAACGATGCTTAAACAGCTGGAATTCCATCTGAAAATCATCAAAATTAAACCTACTCCACTTATCAGCTCAACAAGATAATCCCTACATAACAAGTAAACGTAAGATTTTATTCCTGGTAGTAGACTTTGTAAAATAACCACTGGAGTAGGCCCACAATTGATAGCAAATGAAAACATTCATCTTAATCAGATTAATTCTGAAACCCCGGCTGGGCTTCTCTTGTGTCACACAGAAGCGGAGGAGGGGACAGAGAGATGGCTGCCATCTTGGAACCTAAGGAGAGCACTTCACTTCAATCCCGCGTGATCTGTGACACCGACATTTTTTAAAAGAGTTCAACAATAAAACAGAAGCCCTCAGAATCTGTTTCTTGAGAACTAAGTGAAGACAAATATTCTGTTTAACCTCATCTAACACTGTCAAAAAACGAGGCAAGGCTTAAATGAATTTAAGTGGAAAAATGGAGGGAGCAGCACATTGGTAAGAATATTCCCAAATTATTTTCTGCACTGACCTCTCTCCCCCAGATCCCAACCTTTGAATAGTCAGAACAAGAATGGGACATGTCAGTAATCAACATTGAGCACATGAGAAGCCTAAAATGCATTTACAGATTTTATGTAGATATTCCTGTTTCCTGTGTTTATAAAGCATATGGAACCAAGGAGTCTGACATAAACCAGTTTTTTACAGAAAGTAGTAGCTCTCTGGATTGAGCGTGTACCCTGTGTCAGGCACTGTGGCAAATGCTTACATTTGCCATATCATCTCATCTTCACACATCATCTCCATTTTACACACAAGGAAACCAACCACATAGCAAGTCAGTGACTGCATGAGGCCAAACTCTTTGTCTTTATAGTAATTAAATGTACCAAATGGATAAGCTATAAAAATCCTGTATATGGGCCAGGCACGGTGGCTCATGCCTGTAATCCCAGCACTTTGGGAGGCCGAGGCGGGTGGATCACGAGGTCAGGAGTTCAAGACCAGCCTGGCCAAAATGGTGAAATCCCATCTCTACTAAAAATACAAAAAATTAGCTGGGTGCGGTGGCAGGAGCCTGTAGTCCCAGCTACTCAGGAGGCTGAGGAAGGAAAATCATTTGAACCTGGAGAGTGGAGGTTGCAGTGAGCCAAGATCGTGCCACTGCACTCCAGCCTGGGTGACAGAGTGAAACTCCGTCTCAAAAAAAAAAAATCCTGTATGTGAAGTAAAATTTCATATAAAACAAAAGTTAACAATAACCACCTGGTTTATCTGTTCAGGCAATTAAAATTATCACAAGTTTTTAATCAGAAGCTACCAAATATTGGAAGAAGCATTTCCTACTCGAGGTTCAAAAATGTAAACAAATTCCCTGAGTATAAATCATCTCAACCCTCTAGTTTGCTAAAAAGTTGACACAACCAGGCCAGGTGAAGTGGCTCATGCCTGTAATCCCAGCACTTTGGGAGACCAAGGCGGGTGGATCACTTGAGGTTAGGAGTTCAAGACCAGCCTGGCCAACATGGTGAAACCCAGTCTCTACTAAAAATACAAAATTAGCCGGGGGTGGTAGCACAGGCCTGTAATCCCAGCTACTCCGGAGGCTGAGGCAGGAGAATTGCTTGAACCCTAGAGGCGGAGGTTGCAGTGAGCCAAGACAGCACTACTGCACTCCAGCCTGGACAACAAGAGTGAAACTCCGTCTCAAAAACAAAAAGTTAACACAACCAAATATTCTTCTGTTGCACACAGATGACCAAAATGGTCTCTTCTAACATATTATAATCCCGCTAAGATAAGAGACCTGGAGAAGAATGATCATGATGTAATATTGTAAGTACAAGAAGGCACATGTGGACACAAGCAAAGGAGACCCAGGGCATGTCTGTGGAGGGGAGGAGGATATCTGACAAGAGAACAGAAAATGGGGGAAAAAACTCAGAGGTGAAATCTTTAGCAGAGACATCTCCCATACAGAGTAAGAAAACAGTAGAAATGGAAAAGGAGAAGAAGTAACTTCCAGAAAGACAACCAAGCACAGAAATACCGGATGTGCATGCTGAGCTCCTGAAATGGCAAATGGCTATGCACAAGATGCCGTGGAGAACAAGAAGGCCAACCGTGGAAAGCGACCCCATGTGTCAATCAAGGCCATGATCTGATCACATTCCTCAGTGCTACTTCTCACATTTTAAGGAGTCTGGGCCGGGTGCGGTGGCTCACGCCTGTAATCCCAGCACTTTGAGGCGGTTGGATCACCTGAGGTTAGAAGTTTTGAGACCAGCCTGGCCAACGTGGTGAAAACCTGTCTCTACTAAAAATACAAAAAAATTAGCTGTGCGTGGTGGCAGGCGCCTATAGTCCCAGCTACTTGGGAGGCTGAGGCAGGAGAATGGCTTGAACCTGGGAGGTGGAGCTTGCAGTGAGCCAAGATCACACCGCTGCACTCCAGCCTGGGTGACAGAGTGAGACTCCGTCTCAAAAAAAAAAAAAAAAAAGAAAGAAAGAAAGAAATCTGGTTCTCAGACAGGAAAAGAGTTCTCATTTTTTGCAGAGTGTTCGGAGCCAAATGAACTCAACCAATAAAAATGAAAAACAGCTACACCAAATTTTCAAAACATGTTTTGCAAAAGGTTAATACTTAGTATTTTCCACACTGACTTCCAATCTTAAAGGAAATGAAGCTCTGAAACCCTAGGCCCAAATACAACTAAAGTAAGTAACACCTCTTTTCCTTTTTTTCAAAGCTTTGAAACACATTCACAAGAATGAGTGGCAAAACACGAATAGAGCCCTTTATCACAACGGAAGAGGCATGGAACCCCCTGCAAGTCACCAACTCCTCCATTCCATGTTACTCAAGGGTCCAAGCGAAGGCCTGAGAAGGTGGTGGAGATAACCCCTCCACAGAGCAGCGATGAGTAAGGAATGATGGCTGGGAGACACAGCGCTGCCCTGCTGTCAACTCACCAAGACCATGCGGAAGAGCCACCCCGTGCAGTCCAGTGACCCTTCTCCACGGAACCCAGGACAACATGCTAAGCCTTTCTTCTGAACACCAAGTGCTGCTCTCATGCTCTTCCAAAATTCTTCAACCTCACAAAGGATAGGTCGGTGTCAAAACGGCACCCACCACGTTTCCTGCAGATGGGAAACAGGCATGGAGAACTGATTCTATCTGGTTTAACGCTGGGCCAAGGGTGAAGAGACTGAATTCAACAAAACCACAGTCCTACACAGTATACAGATCACCCATCAAGTCGGACACTGTCTCACTTATGTCCCCAATTTGTTTCCTGCCCTTAACCTAACAATTCTTCTTATACCTTTTCTAGTAAACAACCTCTAAGAGCAAAGAAGTAGATACTCCATCTCCTTATAAAAGCAGTCTATGCAGGCTTAATTTTCAAATCCATGCAAACTTTCTATACTCTTCCATGATAGATTCCGGTATTGCACATTTTTATGCTTGCCTAATACTTTAATATGTGTATACGTGTGCACACACAGACAAGTATACGTATTTTTCCCCAAGTAAAATTCACATTCCTGAAAGATACATGTTACCCTGTGGCTTTGCACATCCGTAGGGATATATCTGTCCCAGCAGGAGAACCAAGAATAAATCAAAGAAAGATTACATTCTAAGAGGTGAAACTACCATGGAAGCATAAGAAAAATATAATTTGAGAAAGTATCAGGTATCTGCCTTTTAATACGGACTTGATTACCAAGCACAAGACAAACATTTCAGACTATTTCCCCCAGGAAGCCTAAAAAGAGGCGATGGGTTTCCTGAAAGCTCCTGAGCTGACGGCAGAAACAGTAGGGGCAAACTGGGCTGTGACTCCTCTTCTGGTCTCCCAATTTCCTCTCCCCGCATTTCTTATCTCATCGCATTAGAGATGTCTTCTAGTAAAGCAAAGCAGTGGATCACAGGTAGGGCACAACAAACCTGATATTCCAAACTGTCACAATGAGATATTAAAGATACGCTCAAAAATTAATCTCAGGAGCTGATGGTTACCTGCTTACTCTAACCCCCACATCCTTCCCAGGGCTCGAGTCCTTACAGACATTGTGAGGAGCGCGGAAGTTTCTAGGTGTCACCGCCGAGCACCAACCCCTCTGTCCCTTTGCTTACTCAGGGTTTCCCATGGGGACCTAGAGCTTCACTCCCGTCCCCCGCTGCTGAGTGAGCTACACTGGCTCAGAAGCCGCCGCTTCCCTGAAGTCTTCCCCTTCCCCATCAGAAGTCCCACTGAGGTGGCTTTAGTGTGCTTACTAGAGCTAATCTATTCCAATCTTTTCTTTAGTGGCTGTGAGTTCTTAACTACCTTAGTCAAACAACTTCCTAAACGCTCACAGACAAGTCAGACACAATTTATTCCAAGTTCTCTTTGAAAACTTTAAAAATATCTTAAAGAAGCAAGTTTTCTTATTAAAACTTTTAACTCTACATATGAAATGTAGGCTTAAATCTGAGGGCCTTTCCTGATCTGATTCCTCCTGATTCTCCTGCTCCAGTATCCTGCCTCTCTGTCTCCTTCTCATCCCTCCTGAAGAGAACTTCTTATGCTCTAGAAGTAGAGAACCATTTAAAGTTGCTCAGAGTCCCCAAGTTATTTCACAACCTGCTACCCCAGGATGAAATGCACTCACTTTGCCTTGTCAGCTTCGCAGATAACTTCCCAGCCTTAAGAACCAAATCCAGGTGTTAACTTTCCTTCCCTAAATCATCATTCTGCTTCACCCCAAACTGCGCCCCCTACAATGGGGACAAAATAATGACTCCCTATCTCTGTGGAATCTCCATACTATTCATTTCTCACCATAGTACATAGTTACATGTTTACCTATCAGCTCTTCAACTCCATTCTTCTTTCGAGACCTGTGTTTTATCATTTTATCCCTATCATAAGAACATGAAGTACATGAAGGTAGTAATGAGAGGTGACACCGTGCTGTCAGCCCTCACTCGCTCTCGGCGCCTCCTCCGCCTTGGTGCCCACTCTGGCCGCGCTTGAGGAGCCCTTCAGCCCGCCGCTGCACTGTGGGATCCCCTTCCTGGGATGGCCCAGGCCAGAGCCGGCTCCCTCAGCTTGCAGGGAGGTGTGGAGGAAGAAGCGCGGGCAGGAACGGGGGCCGCGCGTGGCGCTTGTAGGCCAGCTAGAGTTCCCAGTTGGCGTGGGCTTGGCAGGCCCCGGGCAGTGAGGGGCTTAGCACCCAAGCCAGCAGCCGCGAAGGGTGCGCCAGGTCCCCCAGCAGTGCCGGCCCACTGGTGCTGCGCTCGATTTCTCGCCGGGCTTTAGCTGCTTCCCCGTGGGGCAGGGCTCAGGACCTGCAGCCCGCCATGCCTAAGCACCCCCCACGCCATGGGCTCCTGCACGGCCCCAGCCTCCCCGATGAGCGCTGCCCCCTGTTCCTAGGCGCCCAGTCCCATCGACCACCCAAGGGCTGAGTAGTGCAGGCACAAGGCGCAGGCAGCTCCACCTGTGGCCCCAGTGCGGGATCCACTGGGTGAAGCCAGCTGGGCTCCTGAGTCTAGTGGGGACCTGGAGAAACTTTATGTCTAGCTAAGGGATTGTGAATACACCAATCAGCACTCTTTATCTAGCTCAAGGTTTTTAAATACACCAATCAGCACTCTGTATCTAGCTAATCTAGTGGGGACCTGGAGAACTTTTGTGTCTAGCTCAGGGATTGTAAACACACCAATCAGCACCCTGTCAAAATGGACCAATCAGCTCTCTGTAAAACAGACCAATCGGCTCTCTGTAAAACGGACCAATCAGCAGGATGTGGGTGGGGCCAGACGGGAGAATAAAAGCAGGCTGCCGGAGGCAGCAGTTGCAACTGCTTGGGTCCCCTTGCAGACTGTGGAAGCTTTGTTGTTGTGCTCTTTGCAATAAATCTTGCTACTGCTTGCTCTTTGAGTCTGTACTGCCTTTATGAGCTATAAAACTCACCGCAAAGGTGTGCAGCTTCACTCCTGAACCAGCGAGACCACGAACCTACCAGAAGAAAGAAACTCCAAACACATCTGAACATCAGAAGGAACAACCTGTGGACACGCTACCTTTAAGAGCTATAACACTCACGGCGAGGGCCTGTGGCTTCATTCTTGAAGTCAGTGAGACCAAGAACCCACCAATTCCAGACACAGTAACAAACATGTGCTGAGTTGAACATTTATTTGATACAGAAAGGAAAAGAGCCTATGGCCTGTAAATCTGTGTTTCTCAGGATAGTCATTTTATCTAGAATGTTATGAACATATATTTTAAATATGAAAAATGTTTAATACTTATGGCCTAATAAATAACACCTTCAGATCAATCATGCACTCGTTCCTTCAACAAATATTTGGGCTGCCATTAGCTGCCAGGAACTGTGCTGGGCTAGGGCTGCTGCTCATCTGTATGCTGCACTTGTGCAAACTAGAACAGGGTGCCCTCCCTGGACAGATAAAGCAGGGCCCATGTCTCCAAATGCCCACCTCAGCTGGTACCCTTGGGTCTGGAGGCTTTTCCTACAGTAACAAATGAGAGTGAGTCTCTAGGGAGTTCAGATTCTAGTGAGGGGGACGGGCAAACACATTCAATTTTCAACGTTTTCTATATGACTATAAAAAATCAGATTTCCACACACCACACTTGTTCTCATGTAAATCTCCACCTCATTGAACACTGGTTACTACAATCATCAATTTGAACTTAGGCTGAGGCATCCACCTGAGGCAACAGAGATTTCTAGACAGGAAACAAGCACTATTTCCAGATTCACGGAGGCCATAAAATTGACTGCATTTTCAAAGATCACCTTATGGTGACTAGCCAAATTGATTTTACCAAAAAACATTTCAAATTAATTTATTTGATTTTTAAGTCACTTCTCCCCTACATACGCTTCAGAATTTTTTTTCTGTAATGGTAAATATTTCATAAAACACCATAGTCAGTTTGGAATTATTTGCTTTAATAGTTCTTGTTTTTAGCACTACTACATTCTTATCTCCTGAAGTTTAATATAAAAGATAATTGCTATTCACCATTGATATAACACGAGAACAATACAAATCTTTTTAAACAATAAGCTAGAATACACTTACTTTTCTACTATTAAAAGTATTCGCGGTTGATGGAAAACACACACTTTTCTGTCTTTGCATGAAATGTGTATCATATATATATTTGTGACCCACTGCTTCTTCGTGGAAAATAACTCAGTTTGCCTCTGACTTCTGCAAGTAATGGTCTGAGTGAATGCCTACAATTCTCTTCACTTCTTATCTTGTTAATCTAACTGATGGAGTGGTACAAAAATAAACCTCAAAAGAACTATGGAGGAAGAGTGAAAAAAAAACATAAAATTCTTAATGATCCAGTTGGCAAAGAATATTTAACCATTACTTTCAGATTCCTTGACCCAAATATGGTTCCTATTAACAAATAGCAACTTTCAGCCTTTAATACCCCATCTAATGGTTTGGAAGGAATGCACTGTAATTTCGTCAAATTCAATTCATTCATTCAACAGATATTTATTAAGTATCTCCTGAGAGACAGGAATTGTGCAGGACTGCTGGAAATGAGCAAGAGAAATAGCGCTCCTCACCAGGCAGGGTCAACATCTAACAAACGGCCATTCCTGTCACCAAAGAGATACTTTGTTAAAAGATTTACAGCAAGCCTTACTTCTACTTAATGCAATGCTTTACCTCTTAGATTTCTGGGATGAATTTGTTTAGTTCGAGGCATCTTCTTTGACTCAGGGCCTTCTTTTTCTTCTTAAAAACTGCAGATAAAGCAAGCCACCAAAAGGCAGCTCCATAAACTCAACATACATCAATTAATCCATGTGCTGAAAAAGAAAAAAACGGAGAAGCACATTTTACTACCTTCAGAGGAGAAAGATACTTTAAAAGTTACTGCCTAGCAGAGCACTAACCTAAACTCAAGAAAAAGTAACCAAGCTGGGCACCACTGCAAAAGATTACTAACTTTTAATTAAACAGAGGTCATTTTGTCAGTATCGGGACTTCTCATTAAGAAAACAGAAAAAAAACACCGTATCTTTATCAGACAAGAGTAAAAAAACTCACTTTGTGTTTTAAAACAACAATACCAGGAACAAGTAAAGTATCGCATCAGGCTACAAAAGGATTATGTTAGGCATGTATAGTAAATCTGCCCATTCATAGGGGCAGGGACAATGTCTTGTTCATCTTGTTTTAGAGTTAACTCAGTTAATACAAGGGGTTGCTACTGTGGCTACTCCAGTTATTCCAGACCTCTAGGTTCATGGTAGGACCACACTTTCTGCTTCCCTGTGTTTCCCAGGAACGTGTGAGGAGCTGTAGCTAACGACCTGTGAGCGGATGAGACTTCACTTCCAGGCTGGAGCATTTAGTTATTACCACAGCATGATCCTCCAGAGCTCTTCTCTCTCTGCCATGGGATCAGCACTGCTCCAGACAGCAAATCTGACACCACCACAAAGTCAGCTCTGGCTAACCCACGTGATCACACAGCATACGCCAGAAACACCTTTTTGTTTGCTTAAATAAGTGAGGTTTGAGAGTTATTTGTTACTGCAGCACAACCTAGCCTGTCCTGACTTACAGATTTTAAAACACAGTGATCTGAAATATAATAGGCCAAGATAAGAATGACCCAAAACCGAATCACCTATCTCCCCAAATCAGCCACCTCAGGCTCTTCCACAAGATTCTCAAGGATCTTAAAGCTGAAATTTTAACTTACTGCAAGAAAACTGAGAAGCAAAGCCCACTGTCACTGTTAAACATGAAACAATGTTTAGTCATTAAGCAAAGACACAAGAATAGAACAGTAAGGAAGGCTTAAAGCTTTTGTTATTAGTGGTACTGTAGAAGACAAGAGAACACTTATGAGCACCTACTATGTGCCTGTGTACTTTCTACACATTCCCTAATTTAATCTGTTAACTAAGAAGGTAGCTATCATTTATTCATTTTACAGATTAAAAAAAAATTGGATAAGTAACTTGTCCAAGATAAACAACTAAAGAATGTGGTACTGCATGACTCAGTTATATCCAGTGCTTATTTTGTGGAGCTGATAACATCTACTTTCAGGATTTCTTTCAAGAGGCGCAGCAAGTCATGACGACTTATCTTGGTGTCAAACCGGAGTGGGTTCAAAGCCAGGCTTTACCCCTTACTGTGTGGCCTTGTTCAGGTTACTTAACCTCTCTGAAGATCAGATTTCCCAACTGTAAAATTAGGAAATATTATCCACATCAGAAGGTTGTTATAAGGACTAAACTAAACATTGTAGACGCTTTGCCTGTCACACAAAAACGCTGAACTATTAATTCTCCTTAAGAAAGCCTATATGGGAAGGAATGTGTCTAACATCCCAGTATAAGGTTTTAGAAATTTATGGTTTCATTACAGCAAAGAAACAGAAGGTAAAGAAGGCCACGATTAACTTCAGTATTTTATCCCTGATCTGGCTGTATGTCAGCTCAGCACAAAATTATTTGCAATTTTTAACTACATGGTAAAATAATACAAAAAAAAATGATGGTCTAAGTATTTCATCTAGCATTGTGCTAAGTGATCTATAAAAGATAGGGTTTCTCAGCTCCTTGCTCTAAAGAAACATCCACTATCTAATTCAGGAAGGTTCTGATTCAATAAAGAATTGAGACACAGCTGAACCAAATAAATTGCATGAATGCTTAACTACGTTCGTTGTTAAACTTAAAGCTTTTAAATGGTAACGATATTTGGAAGTTTTTAAAGCGTGAACTCTGACTGTAATCCAATCATGTGATCCCATGGGATCCGGAGCATAAATGTAAAATATGCACATTCCCTGTCCGTAAAGGCTTTCTGCTACCCCGTTCATTGCCTACCCACTGTCCCTAGCTGTCCATCCCATATTTAAATCCTTGTGGGGGGAAGTGGGTATTTCCAAAGACAGCAGCATTGTAGCGACTAGGACGAGTGATAAACCGTTCCTTTACGGGAAAGAAATAAATACTACATGGAGCAAAAACATGACACGATCAAAAAGCGTAAAGACAGTTGCAAGGAGAAAAAACATGAATGAATGTGGAGGGCGGAGCCTGGGAAAACCCCTCTGCAACGCTGCACTGAACAAAGCGCTTCGCATGCCAGGAGGAGGGGGGGAATGGAAGTGCCAGCTCAGGAAGGAGCCTGGAGTGGATGCAGAGAGCTGAGGAGGAGGAGGACGAGATGAGGCGAGCGCGGCAGCCCTGAGACTCCTCCTCGCCGCCTGCTCCGCCGCCGCCCCCTCCCCTCTCCAGCCAGCAACTCCTTCCCGAGCCCGACCCCAAGGCGAGCCCGAGCCGACCCGCACCCCAACCCACCGCCCCCTTCCCAACTGCAGCTGGCGCGCACTCCCAACCCGGAAAGAAACTACCCAGGTGGCCGGGAGTAAACAGGCACTTAGAGCAAAGAACGAAAGGGAAAGAAACCCACAAAGCCGGGAGGTTGGGATGCCGAGGCCTGGTCTCTTTCACCCCCCACCCTCTTGCAAAATGCGTCTGCGGCTGGAAGGCGGCTGGGGAGGCTGGGTCCCTCTGTACCTGCTCGGCTCGCGCGCGGCGAGGGCGCCCAGAAGTGCCAAGGGTCTCCCGCACGCAGCCATCCCCTCTGCAAGGTCGGCGGTTGCACACACACGCACACACACACACACACGCGCGCCCGCACGCCCCCCGCCCGCCGAAGGGATGTGCTCCTGCCCCCCCCCCCCTCCGCCCCGCCGCCCTCCCCAGCTGCAGCGCCCCCGCCGCGGAGCCCGCGCCGAACCTGCTGCCAGGACGCCCGGCGGAGCCGCTGCCGCTGCAGCCGGCCCTGGAGCTGCGCTGCTGATGGCGGCGGCCGCGGCTCGGGATCTCCGCGACCCCCGCGCGGCGGCGGCGGCGGCGCCTGGGATCCCTCCTTCACTTGACAACCCCAAACACAAACATAACCTCCTCCGGCGGCCGCCGCTCCCCGGTCCCCCGCTCCGTCCGCCACCCTGCCGCCGCCCAGCAGCCGCCACGCTGAAGGCCGGCGACTGGCGCTCACACCACCCAGCACTGAAATATTAAACAGGGGAGCGGGCCGGGGGGCGGGGGGGGGAGCGCGGGGCGCGCGGGCGGGGGCCGCAGCCGCCGGGCGGAGGAGGCGGCGAAGCTCGCCGGCGCCCGGAGCCACGGCATGATCGCGGCCGCCAGGGAGCCGGGCAGCCGGGCTGGGGGGCGCGCGCCGCGGCGGGGCGGGCGGACAGACCCTGGGGCCGCGGGGCCCGGGGCGGGAAGGACGGGCGCGGGCTTTACCTCTCCCCCGGGGCAGAGTAGGGCACGTTTAGCGTCTTTGGGGCCGGCGGGAGGAACGCGGGCCGGGCGGCGCGGGGGAGGCAGGGCGAAGGTCGGAGGCTTTCCCGCGGGTGGGCGGGGCGGCAGGGGATCCCCGGGGGCGGGAGGAGGGGAGGCCGCGGGCGGCGACGCGTGGGCGGGGGAGGGGGCGTCCCCGCGGGGGCTGGGGTTGAGGCCGGGGCGAGGGGCGCGGGACGCCCAGGCGCCGGGGCCCAGCTGGGCCGGCGCGGCCGCCAGCTCTGACCGGGTGTAGGGACTGGATGGGCGCCCGGCCCGGCACGAACCCGGAGCCAGTGCCCCGGGTCTCCCCGGCGGGGCGGGCCCCAGACCGCGCCGGCCCCGCCACCTACCCGCCGCTTCGCCCCTCCCCGCCCCGCCCGGCCGAGCCGCCGCAGGGACGGGAGGGGGACGCGGGAGGAGGTGGCAGCGCAGCCCGGGGGGGAGGGGCGGGGTTAGGGACGCGGGGGGCGGGAGCCCTGGGTCGCGACGCCTGGGGAACCAGCACACGGCGGGGGCGGAGGGGCGGGCCCGGCCAGTCACGCGGCCCCGGGAAGGCCTGGCGGGGTCGCTCAGTTGGGGGCGGTTGGTCCGGGAAGAGGGACGGGACGGGCGGGGCCGTAGTTTCTCTTTACCGTCTCTTTACTTTCTACAGCAGGATGTGGGCCGGCCGCTGACGTCATGGGGTCTCCCGGCCCCGCCCCTCGCCCGGGCAGAATGGGGGAGGGGGAGGCGGGGGGGGGGGGGGACCCCAAGGGGGTTTCCTCAGCAACGCGTAGAAGGAAGGGGAAAGTCATTGTGAAACTTAAAACTCATTAACTTTGAAAAACAACTTTTAAAAAAACGGAGGGGGCAGGGTGTTGGTTTGGAGAGTGGAAGGGGACATGTTAACCCTGAACTGAAACCACTTTTTGGTGGCGGATGTTCTATTAAAAGAGCGAGGAAAGCCAAGGTTATTCCAGAGGCCGCTCCAAAGCCCCGCTGGTGCTTCCCAGTGCCGAAGCTGCGAGCGCAATTAACCCCTGCCTGCCAGCCTGACAGCTTATAGGGCCAACCCGGGAGGGGACTTCGGGGACAGAAAAGGGGGGTGCGGGGCTGGTCGTCGGACCGGGCTCCAGGGAAGAGGGGAGAGCGTGAAAGGGGAAGAGGGAGTAATTAGCATGAACCAAGGTGTGACCCCGGCTGCTAGAAAGCAGTAGAGAAAGCAAGGAGTGGAAATCCATGGCAAAGCAGTGAAGAGGGGCTGGACCAGGGTAACGAAGGTTTTCAGGGTTAGACCTAAAGAACGTTCGCAGTTTGGGGCACAGAAATTCCACAGGTCCACCTCAAGAAGCAAAAGTGGCTGGTTTAACGGGCCACCTCAAACTTGAGAGGAATAAGGTGAAACAAAATTGATGCAAAAAAAAAAAAATCCCTGATGAAACTAAACTGGTTTCCCCTTTTAAGGAATAAAAATGCTAAACGACCATACAACCACTAAGACAGCTGGCCATCTGTGCAAACTTGAATTGTTTTGTTCCCTTGGGCTTCCATAACGACGTCTAGGTTTTTCCTGCTGGAGTTGACCCCTAAAATTCCCCTGAGGAAATCGTACCTCTGGCTCATTTGAGCTAAGAAAAGCTCAAACCACCAGAATGGGAATGATTAAAAATGGAATACTCAGTAATGGCGAGTGTGTAGCCAAAAATAATATCATGTAAAGGGAGAAATATGCCTACTACAAAGTAAATTTGGTTATAAAAGCAAAGATCATCCAACTGTGTACATGTACAATTATGTCTAGCATACTAATGCTAACCCTACGATGAAATAATGCAATTTTTATTTTCATTGTGCTATAACCATCTCTCATTTGTGAAATGAAATGATATCCAATAGGTTGCAATCACCAAAAAAGTATATAATGTAACTTCCCAACTGGGTTATTTGAATCCAAAAGTAAACATGCATTTAACTGTGAACGTATAGCTATTAATCTGTCAGGAGAAAGGTAATGTGATAATGAGTGAAGTTTGTATCACTTTGGAAGTGAAAAATGCTAACTGAATGAATAACGTTTAACCCAATAATTGTTGAGCACAACATACTGTCAACACAATGTTTATGTAGGATTCAGCATTACTACGAACTTTCTAACAAAACATACATGCAATTTCGAATTACGATAGGTAAATTTTGACATTTCAACTATTTCCTTGAGCAGCAAACCGATATTAAACTTTTATTTGAAATATATACAATACAGAATAGTTTCCTAGTAAGTTTTTGAATTTTCTAAATGCAGTTTCTTTTCCTAATTCTGCCTACAATTCTTCCCAGATATCAGGATGCAGGGAAACCTGGCTATACTATAAAGTAGCTTCTTTAGGCTTGTTTTGTGGCAAATCCAATATATTTTCTCAAAATGTATCAAATAAACACAGCGTGGGAAAAAAATGAAGCAGAGGGTGAATGTGGAGGATGAATGTGAATGGTAAACTGCAGTTTCAACTGTCAAAAATCCTGGGACAATGCAGGAGCAAGTGACCATTCTCTGCCCCCAAAAAAGAGGGGGCTCCTGGAGGTCCATTTCTCTATGGTTCCATCCCCACCGTCCGCGTGAACGCTTCTGGAGCCCCCCTTGGGGAAAGTGGGGTTCGAGGGAGGATAGTGTCACTGAAAAGCTCAACACACGTTTTTCTTGGCGAACAGTTTGGAGAGGGCACAAAGTCCACCCCGGAGCCGCGTCCACTGGGCCCCGCGCCACCCTGCCCGCCCCCGCCGCTGCGTCCACGGCTCGGGTTCCCACGCGGCCGCCCGGCCGGGCCCGGCTCAGGCACCCCCCTGGCGCGGCCCCGCGGCCCCGGCCCTCCGCCCAGCGCGCGGCCCGGCAGCGCCGCCGCCGCCGCCGCCGCCGCCACCGCCACGCGGAGATCCCGGAGGTTCCTCCCCGCCGGCCGCCGGGTCACGCCGCTCGTCCCTCCCCTCGGCCCTCCGCCCTCCGCCCTCCGCGCGCGCTGGGCTTTCCCATCCACCGGCCGAATCCCCTCCTCCTCTGGGCAACCCGGCGACAAAACCTTCCCCGCACGCCCTGCCAACTCTGCCCCACGCCCAGGCTCTTCCCAAGCCAGGCGCCAGACAAAAGAACCGAGAGAAAAACTTACCCGAACTGCAACACAAAAGTCTGATCCAAAGCTTCCTGGGTTTAACTTTTAATTTTAAAAACAAAAAAGCAGAAACCAAAAGCCTCCTAGGTTGGAAGTGGGCGTGAGAGGAAATGCTAGAGGGAGGCGCTTCATTCCCCGGGCTGCCTGTGCCCCCCTTTCTGGCCCCTGCCCGGGGCTTTGATGTTATCTAGTGCACCGCCTCCATCGGTTTCTACCTTGGGCTCTGCGCCGCCGAGAAGATAGACAGATCTTCCGCACTTCACTTGCAGGTTCTGAGAGAGGCAAGCAGGTAGTCGCGGGAAAGGACCCACACTCCTTAGCCCCGCAGTGAGAGAGGAACATTTGCACGGGCTTCCTGTTGCTACCTGGACTGAAATGAACAATCCACCCCTCTAGTGATCCTGGAGACTTGCACCGTATGGTCTTTCCTGCTAGACGCACAGCGGGAGGCCTCCTACATTAGATTCATTTTCCCTCCACCCGTAGCACAAACTTGTAAGATGGTGGTGGAGTATGTTTCCTGAGGCTTTGTTCGGGTTTTAGATCTCAGTTTGGAAGGTAAATATTATTTCCCTTCTGAGACAGTCCTGCAGCCTTGAAAAGACAAGAATAAAAATCTAAAGGCAACAAATTCTATAACATGCTTTCCATACACCATAAATTCCCTTATGGGTCAAAATATCCGCACACTTTCCCCTCACGTTATGAAAAGCTTGTAACTGTTGATTTTCTTTTGTCTGGACACTAGCAGACACTGGATATAGTTTTTCATTAGGTTAGCAGTCTCGGGACCATCACTAACAAAACACTACAACAAAGAATTTTTTTTTTTTTAACAGATTACTAATAAAGAAGGACGGCAGTGTCTAGCAATCAGCCTTACCTGTGCCTCCACTTTACACCAACAGAAGCTTGTGTTCAGGCCTTGCCCTCTGGAAGATTACAAATTAATGGAGACAGGATAAACACATGGAAAAATACCTAGAGGGAAAAAAAGATATAAGAGGCTTATAAACAGAGCCAATTAAAGTTATACAGTTATTTACATGATCGCTGAGAGGCTTCTGCTTGAGTAGAGGACGGGGTGAGCAGAGTCCCATCCTGGGGGTGAGTTCTCAGTGGGATATTGAAGGAGAGAAAGTTCACGATTTGGCAGTGGTGGAAGTACAGCATTCTAGAGGAGGGAAATAACTTGAAGGTGAGAGCAAGTGAACTGTGTGTGATGGTTTTTCCACCGAGAGCAGAAAGTCTAAGCAAATGGGAAACAAGTAACACCCATGCCAGGACACTTGAGAGTGAAAGGGAAGGTATTAATAATTATACTCAGGGCCGGGCGCAGTGGCTCACGCTTGTAATCCCAGCACTGTGGGAGGCCGAGGGGGGCGGATCACAAGGTCAGGAGATCGAGACCATCCTGGCTAACACAGTGAAACCCTGTCTCTACTAAAAATAGAAAAATTAATTGGGCGTGGTGACGGGCGCCTGTATTCCCAGCTATTCGGGGGGCTGAGGCAGGAGAATGGCGTGAACCAGGGAGGCGGAGCTTGCAGTGAGCCAAGATCACGCCACTGCACTCCAGCCTGGGCCACAGAGCGAGACTCCGTCTCAAAAAAAAAATCATGCTCAGATGAGAGATGTACACCTGGATTGCCCCGGGGCCATTGGGAAGGGTGGGTTCTCTCGTAATGAGCTAGGAAGACAGAATGGGCAGGCAACAGGCAACCAGAGAAGAGCCTACTCAGTCATCATTTGGAAGGAATTAAGACATGATATTACAAACAGTTGGTAGCTATTTGGAGACATCTGGCCTGAGAATGGTCTTTTTAAGGAAAGTTATTGTTACTGATGGATTTAGGATCGATATGGAGGCTGGTTACAAAAACTGCAGTAACATTAGCAGTTGTAATAATGGTAGTGGTAGTGATTAACAGCTATTGAGCGCTTACGACTTGCCGGGTTTTCCTATATAAACTCATTTAGTCCCCGCCATAAACCCACACTGTAGATGAAGAAACAGAGGCTTAGAAATGCTACATAGTCTTCCGGAAGCTACAGAGCTGGTAAATGATAGAACTATGATGGGGATCCAGAAAATATTCAGATGCTCAAAGTTTAAAGATTATATTTTGTGAAAACCAGATTTCAATAACTTTATAATATTCTACATCAATGGAGAGAATAAGAAAAGGGAATTTTTTAAAGTTTTTCAAATTTCGATGTGTCATGAAAATGATGGGCATCCTGGCATGGTGTGAGGCTTAAGGAAAAGAAGAGAAAATGTGTTTGATTTTAACCATGTCTTGTTTTTAGAAGGATGATTTAATTCACATTTACGCCAGTACTGATACTGTTACCTGTAGGAGACGTGCTATTAGAGCAAACCACATCTCATTGAAAAGCCTCTCTTTCAATGGCAAGTAACGACAGTTTAATGGATATTATTTGGTGTACTATCTGTGAAGAGGGGAAAGAAAACTAGATGTGATTGATACCTGCAGTTCCTGAAAGAATTCCTCATAAGCTATGTCCACAAGTGGCATACTGAGGAACCCTAGAGGAAGAATAGCATTCAATGAAAATGACCCAACCTCATCTGTGATCTAACAAGGTGGTATTTTTGTTCCAGTGGGCCCTGAGTTAATACAGTGTCCCACAGTTCTAGAGGCTGGGAGTTCAAGATCAAGGCATCAGCAGGGTTGGCTTTCTCCGAGGCCTGTCTTCTTGGCTTGTAGACTGCCACCTTCTCTCTGTGTCCTCACATGGCCTTTCCCAGGTGTAGTGCTTATACAGAGAGAGGGAGCACTGGCTCTTTGGTGTCTCTTCTTTTAAGGTCGCTAATCCCATTAGATCAGTACCCCACCCTTATTACCTAATTTAACCTTAATTACCTCCTAAAGACTCTATCTCCAGATACAGTAACATTGGGGGTTAGGGCTTCAACATATCAATTGGGATGCTGGGGGGACAATTCAGTTCATAGCAGATACCAAGAGTATATTTACATAGAATTGTAGATAGAGTTAATGCCGGCCTAGGAAAGGGGCTTGTCAGTTGCTTGAGGAGGAGCCGAAAGACTTCATTCTAGACTTTCTTATTTCCATGAAGAATTACTCCTAAATAACTCTTAAAACATTGTTGTGTAAATACTCTTTCACATTTCTAGTAAAATGGTTCTCAAACCTCCTGTGGAAAGCCGTCTTGGTGCACACCTTTAGTGTGTTATAAATAAAGTGATTTTGTCGATTGCCAAAGGATTTAAGGGTTTTATTTTCCCCATTGTAATCACAATCTGAACACATGTAAATTAAACATGATATGTCCTATCTCAAGTGTGGATACCCCCTCCCCTATCCCATAGTCTCTGCCTCATCATCATTCATTAATTTCCTTTATAACATCGCACAGTCTACAATTATCTTATTGGTTTCCATGTTTATTATCTCTCAACCCTCTACTAGACTATGAGGGCCATGAGTGAAGTGGCAATGCTTTGTTCCTCTCTGTCTCCCCAGCACCTAGAACAGTGTTGAAATAAATGTGTGTTGAATGAATGTTGTAGTCTGAGG
Source organism: Homo sapiens (assembly GCF_000001405.40). NCBI lineage: Eukaryota > Metazoa > Chordata > Mammalia > Primates > Hominidae > Homo > Homo sapiens. The sequence goes on along the minus strand of NC_000006.12, from coordinate 12,005,306 downwards.
CCTGCTCACCTTCCAGTTTAGTTGCTAAGCCTTTCATATCAACTTAATTGCTTTCTTGCTTTTGCATTTTTCTTTAAACATCCTTTTTAAATGTTCTGGACTCAAAATTATTATATATAACACAGTTAAAGGGGATCTGCTCATTTTATAGACTGGGAAGCCAATATAAGGAGTCAGATGAATTAAATGACAGCATAACCAGCTGGTTCCTGGCAGAGCTTGACTGGAGAGCTCCCAGTCCATCCTCCCTCTTCCCTTCTTTCTGCTCCCAAATCCTTCCTCTTTTATGCCTTTCCTGATTCTTACCAGAAACTCCATTGCCTTTTGCTTGCTCTTAATCTTCATTCCTAGATTTTTTTAAAAAGTTTCTTTTCTGCTGTAGTTTTGATAGAGGTTCCATGGCTTAAACATGTAGTATGGATGGAAGGAAAGAAGGGAGGGAGGGAAGGAGAGAGGGAAAAAAGGAATATATGTGTATAAAATTAAGAAAACGCCAGGCACAATGGCTCATGCCTGTAATCCCAGCACTTTGGGAGGCTAAGAGGGGCCGATTGCTTGAGCCAGGAGTTTGAGACCAGCCTGGGCAACATGGGGTAACCCTGTCTCTACAAAAAATACAAAAATTAGCCAGGCATGGTGGTGTGCACCTGTAGTTCCAGCTGCTCAGGAGTCTGAGTTGGGAGGATCCCTTGAGTCTGGGAGATCAAGGTTGCAATGAGCAGTGATCGCACTACTGCACTCCAGCCTAGGCTACAGAGTGAAACCCTCCCTCCAAAAAAAATAAAAAATTAAATAAAAAATTAAGAAAAAATATGGCAGAGTAAGCGTTCAAAAAAGTGATTTATAAGAAAAGCTATGAAACATGTACTTCTGGCTTATTCAATCCACATTCCTTACCTTTTCTTTTTGAGTTGCTATAACTTTTTATTTAAAGAGGGTTAAGAATCAGGCATATTTTCAGTGACTAACAGAGAACTACTTAGTAATATTCTTCTGCCCTAGAGAGAATTCACCAGTTCCAGAGTCTCCTACTAATAAAGAGTACATATGATGCACATACAAAGAGGCAACATTGTGACTAAAAGCATGGGCTTAAGAGCCAGCAAGCCTGGGTTGAAGCCCAGATCTGCCAGCTGCATAATTTGGGGCCATTTTTTTGACCTTCCTGTGCCTCCATTTTCTGATCTGTAAAGTAAATGTAATTGGAGTCTTCACAGAATAGCTGTGAATATTAGATGAATTGGTGTTTTGAAAGTGCTGAAGACAGTGCCTGTCACATAGTTACAACGATCTCTCAGTGTTGACCAATGCTTTATTACATGTTTCGCACTAGACTAAGTGTGCTTTACGTGTGTTATGTTTTAAACCTTGAAATAAGTCTCTGGAGACTTATCCAGAAAGGACCTGACAACCAAATCTAACATGATCCTTGATGGGATCCTGGAATAGAGAGAAGACATTAATGGCAAAACTGTTGACATCCAGATAAAGTCTGCAGTGTAGTTAACAGTAATGTCAAAATGTCAATTTCTTATTTTTGATAAATGTATCCTGGTAATGTAAGATGTTAACAATGAAGTAAACAGTAAGGGCATATGTACAGAGCTCTCTACTACAATCTTTATAAATTTTCTGTAAAGCTAGAATTATTCCAAAATAAAGTTTATTTTAAAAAATAATAATAATAGCCTGCTGCTACAGACACAGTTACCCATGTTTTAGTGATTAAGGAGCTCAGGCTTAGGTTAAGTACCAAGCCAAAGGTACAACTAGACCTGGCCTCACAGGGACCCTCACTGTCTGCAGAGAAGACCACATCCTAAATCCCTAGGCTACCCCACCGCCCAGTAAGCCTCAGATTTCTTTTATATTCTCATTCATGGCAGGCTGGGATCTGGAAAAGCAGGTGTGATCTAAACACAGTTATGAAACAAACAGTGTTTTTCTTTAAGCTCCCTTTCTCTTCTTTGCGATTTAATTCCCACCCTGATGGTCTGTCTACTATAACCCGATTTCGGGTTTTAAAAAAATTATATATGTACATATGAAAAAATACATGCACACATCTCTGTATATATTCACCTTTCCATAGTTTCAATTACCCACCATTAACCATGGTCCTAAAATATTACAGTATTTTAAGAGAGAGAGACCATATTCATATATAACTTTTATTACAGTATATTACAATTGTTCTAGTGTTAGTTATTGCTAATTTATAACTGTGCCTAATTTTTAAATTAAACTTAATCATAACTATGTATGTATAGAAAAAAGCAGTATATATGGGCCGGGCACAGTGGCTCATGCCTGTAATCCCAGCACTTTGGGAGGCCAAGGCAGGCAGATCCCCTGAGGTCAGGAGTTCAAGACCAGCCTGGTCAACATGGTGAAACCCCGTCTCTATTTAGCCCGGTGCAGTGGTGTGCGCCTGTAATCCCAGCTACTCGGGAGGCTGAGGCAGGAGAATCGCTTGAACCCGGGAGGCGGAGGTTGCGTTGAACCGAGATAGCGCCACTGCACTCCAGCCTGGGCAATAGAGTGAGACTTTGTCTCAAAAAAAAAAATAAATAAATAAATGAAAGGAAAGAAAATAAAAAGAAATAAAAAAACAGTTTATATATATATAGGTTTCAGTAATATCTGAGGTTTCAGGCATCCACTGGGTGTCTTGAAACATATTTTATAAATGAAGCTTGAAACTATTTTATATATATATATATATATATATATATATACTGAAACTACTTTGTGTATATATATATATATACACATACACACACATATATGCAGACACCTGTATTATATATTTATATATGTACATATATTTTAATAAGGGCTGTATTTATATGTCTATATTTATGGGATTTCAGCATCAGCAGTTGGGTATACTGGGCACATGGACCAGACTACAGGACAGTATTCCACACAATCCTAAAGCATTTCAAATTTCCCATCTAAATCATTGATTACAAGTAACCTTTCCTTCTTGTTAATAAACTGCCAACACCACAACTTCACCACCACTAGCTTTACAAGTACCTCTTTTTTTGCAAACACATCTCAATTCCCAATATCTACCTCCTACATTAACATCTGTTTCCCCAAACCTTACCAGATCTCAAACTCACCAGCTTCTGACTCTGTAAGTATGTTGCCAACATAAGAAGCTTTCTCCAGATGCCTGTTCATGGGATCAAATTTTGCAGATGAATTGTTTCTGGTAAACAACACTTAAACCACTCATTTTTCCCTTCCCTAAACTTTCTGCTATACCATTCCGTACTATTTTGTTTTTGAAAGCACACGATTAAATTTACAGTTTTGAATGTATTGGCATCTCCTTTTCATGGCAGTTCCTATTGTACCAAAATGTCTGTGGACATCAATACAAAGGAACCCACGAGTCTAGAGTCAAAGTCCAACTTGGGAAAAGTTGGAGAAAGGGCAATTGATAAAATGGACTTTCTGGAAGCTAAGGAAAATGAAAGGGACATGATTTCACAAGTGAGAGAGATGAGCCAGAGAACGGAAGATAAGAGTAAGCCGCTAATAACAGGATGACAATAGCCTATGGTGAGCTTTAACATGTTCTAAGCGCTTTTTAAATTTCAGCTGTTTTAATTTCTGCAAAAGGAGGTAGAGCTTGATTTATGGTAGATGATTGAAAATGGAACTAGCATTATAATAAGGCATCTAAATAAGGGTATCTGTGTGTGTGCATATGTGTGTGTGTGTGTGTGTGTGTAGTGCATATCAGCTAGCCAGATGGCTGTCTAACCTAAAGACAGTGTAGATGTTACTTGTAAGATTTTTTTTTGCTACTAATGGGTTATGCACATGAGGTTTGGTAATTATAAAAAATATTGATGCAAGCAGGAAATCTTGGCACGGCGGCAGTGTGTAGTTCTCAGAGCAGGAGTAACAGGACACACACATTTGTCTTCGGCTTGCTACTCACACAACTGTCGTTTCCAACTGTTGTGGAACCTTCTGGTTGCAAAATTCCATCCCTCACATAGTAACAAGAGAGTCAAAACAGTCCCTCCCTCCAGAGCTTTGATCACACAACAGTTTTGTAACCATGTTCTCTCAGAAAGTTCCATAGTCCACCCATCTGGAACAAAATAGTGATTTCCAGAAAGGTAAATCAGACATTCTCTCACAGGAGTTTTCTGCTATTTTTATTATTCTAAAAGCATAGTTTTCTATTGCCTCAGGTTTGATTTGGGGGAGCAGGATGGCTATCCTATGAATGTTCTTCAAAAATATTTTTCTACTGTCTTAATAACCATTCCTTTTGGTATCTAGTCTGAGCAACTGATTATCTTGTATCCATTTTCATACAATTAAAACAAATTCACACAATTTAAAATTGAAAACTCTAATGTTATTTCTTATTAAGAAAGCTCCTAATTTCTTAGTAAGGGGGAAAAAAAGACTTGTCCCAAACCAACTATTATTCAAAAAAGTTTCCAAACATAAGTTGTTTTATGACAGTGACCCATGATTCATATTCCCCAAAGGCCAAACTGCCATTCTGCAATAAATTACAACAAAACATTTTGTTTCTGTATTCACAAATGCAAAGAAAGCCAGAATAATATTGGGCAGTACTTAAATGAGAAATTCTGGGATGCTGAGGAAATAATAGCAGGTGTCAAATAATACGGATTTCTTGCTACTAAAATCTCCTTGAAGCATGCTTGATTTTTCCTGGAAACCTAAATCAATGGTAATTTTGAGAAGTCATCATGCAATATTGACCAGTTCTATAGCATATAAGTCAAAGAAATGGTTCTTCTAAGTTACACTGAAGGTCCTGAAAACAAAGAAATATTAATGTTTCTTACCACTGCCAAATTCCATCTCAAATACATTGCTAATTAGCAACCTAAGTTTAATGTGCTGAAGTACCAAATGACATTTGACAGTGTCCCCATCTGTAAAATGGGGTGATAATAACCTACTCCTTAGGGATACTTTGCAAAAGAGCAATGAGTGCTTTTTAAGTAATCTGGAAGAATCTGCTTCTGTGAGTATCTAAATAGCTCCTTTCCTTTATATCTTTCTACTATGTGTAATGTCTCCTTTATCTTATTCTTCTATGTCTCTTCATTATATCCTCCTTTTGTTTTTTACTGATTAGTAATTGGATTTCTTTTTAAGCAAGCATTTATTTACATACTCATAACTACTCGCCATTCTACTCTATTTTCTTTTTTCTTCTTTGCTTTTTAATTTGAAGAGAATGACTTATGTTAAACCCAGGACAAGATTTTTCTAGATGCCATGAAGATGGTGACTTGGATATCTACCCTTCTAAATTCACTTACAATTACTTCTATTAATATTAATAGTTCCAATGGCTTTGATTTCACTGGATGAAAACTACTACACACTCTCTTTTTCCTCTAGTTTATATTGCCCTGACTACCTGGCTTCTTGAATATAGATGATCTAACTGATTAAAATCAGAATTATCTCTTTACAACCATCCATAACCTACAATTCTGACATCATTTCCCCAAAACATTTTTATAATCCCTCTGTTTTTGCCTTAACCAAGGCCTTCCTATTTTCTCAACTCTAACTCATTGCTTTATTTCATTTAGAAAATGTGGGATTTTTATTATTATGACCATAAAATGTAGAGGTCCAATGTGACATATTTTCAAACTTTTCCTCACTCTTCTTTGAAAAAATTGCTGAAGGTGAAAAGCAAGTACATCTCGTATTACATTTCATAAAAACTGCTCAACAGATTCTTCCAGTGTTGCCAATATTAACATCTAAGAGTGTCTGGGGAGAGAATGCAGTTGTCTACCATGACATCAACTTGGAAAAGATAGGGCTAGAGTCCAAACATTCCTAGCTTCTCTGAATCAGGCACACCACCCTAATTATCTCCTAAAAGGAATGCTGTCATCATGTAACTCCCTCACTGAAGAAACCGAGTCGCTTCCCTCTAACTACAAGATACACATTCCCTAGCTGGTCTTTAAACCTCGATATGGTGGAAGCGATCACCTCAAAACATTATGTTTACTTACTTCCCTAAACAAAGCCTTCACTCCAGCTAAATGGGTCCACTCACTGTTCTTGCAGTAAGTTTGGTGCTTCCTTTCTACATACTTCTGTTTCAGTCAACATCGTTGCACAGAATGCTTGCTTTCCTCCTCTTTGCTCATCCAAATGCTCTAAGCCATTCTCTCAAAGATCTAGGTGAATTGTACCTTTTCTAGGGGCACTTCATGAAGTGATCCACAAGACTCATGTAAAATTCGCAGACTGGGCGTGGTGGCTTGGGCATGTAATCCCGGCACTTTGGGAAGCCAAGGTGAGTGGATTGCTTGAGCCCAGGAGTTGGAGACCAGCCTGGGCAACATGGTGAAACCTCATCTCTACAAAAAATACAAAAATTAGCCAGAGGTATCTGTAGTCCCAGCTACCCGGGAGGCTGAGGTGAAAAAAATCACCTGAGCCCAGGGAGGTCAAGGCTGCAGTGAGCTGTGATCACGCCACTGCACTCCAGCCTGGGTGACAGAGTGAGACCCTGTCTCAAAAAAATAAAAAATAAAATAAAATTGTCATACTCCCAATTAGTTAATCAATTATGCCTGTCCCTTTAAGTGCTATCGTTTCACTTTTTCTAGGTTTCCATTTTCTGATCTAAACTGTTTAGAACACACAATTCTATCTTATACATACAGCCTTTCCTTCCCTTAAGTCTCCCTTATTCATTAATTAATAATCAACTCTACATGTTATCCATGAACCGTCCTTCCAGGCAAATGAGATCCATAGTCTATTGATTATTGTATCTAGGGTTTTTAAAATGTGTTTGTTTGTTTTGTTCCTGTTGAGAAATATAGATAAGTGGTACCTTCTACTGCTAACATTGACACCTCATTGGGTTTTACTTCCTACCTGCAAAGTGTCTGCGTTAGACTAGCTCACTAAAGTCCACTCTAGGTTAAAGAATTGTGGTTTGGTTGGTTCTACTTCAAAGATTGGTGAATATTTTCATCAAATACTTTGAGGATATAAAAGGTAATCACGAACTTCACCTTTTTAGATTTTAGTTGCCTTTTCAGTTGTCTCTTGACCTCCAAACTTCTTAAAAGTTTAATCTGTAATAGCCCCCATTCTCTCTGCATCAACGTAATGCCCTTTCCTCTGACGCAGTAGTAATGTCTTTCAAGCTTCCACTACATCGGAAATGTCATAGGTCAACCACATCGAACGTTTGTCTAACTCTTCATTTTCCAAAATGCTTTCACATGACTTTGTGTGTTATGGTGGATTTTTAGCTCCACTCCTGGCTATGTGTTATGTCTCTCTTGCACTTCTCTCTTCTTTTATCCTCATGTCAATTTATCCTGCCTTAACATATTGACATATCCTTGAGAGCTACCCGATACCCTTTAGACAACAGGTGAAGTATTTGCAAAAACTATTCCTGATTTTACTGAGGAAATTGATGTTCCTAGGAGATGTCCTAGGACTTGTCCAGATCTCCACACCCATTACATGACAAAGACAGGATTTAACTCAATTTTTTCTGACTTCAAATTTACTACATTTCCATAAAATCATGGCTTGCTTCTGCAGTAAGTGGTCTGTTTCTTCCTTTCTAATTTAGTGGTTAATGGATAAAACTCAGGCCTTTATTTTTCATTTCTTCCTAACTGACCCGACACCTCGCATGCTTCCAACCTGTCCTAAACTCAGCTGTCAAAATTAGAGCCATCATGATCTTCTCCTCAAATATTTTCCTATTTACTTACAGTCTAAATTCTAAATTTAACATGGAATTCAAAGCCCTCTGTTATCAACCTCTAACTATCTTTACAATCTTACCCATCCATTTATGGGGCAAATGTTTACTGAGTATCGTTATATGCCAGGCAATGTTCTAGTATTGGGAATGGTGAACAAGGCACACAAGATGCCTGCTCTCTTGGAGTTAACATTCTTATTCTTTGTTCTTCATTATAATTAAAGAATTGCAACCATCCAGTCATGCTGAGACACTTCCTATTTTCATAGTTTTTCTCATGTTGGTCCCAGCTATCTGGTCTACCTCCTCCTTCAAGCCTCAATTCAAATTTCCATATTCAACAAGCAGACTTCTAGATCTTTTTTCTTTTATACTGTCATATGTATGTACTGTCCTTTCTGTCTGCCCTAGTTCTTTTTTATTTATTCATATAAACACATCAAACATATTTTAAATATATGTCATATTCACTTGCAAGCAACATAAGGAAGAAAATCATGGTGTATTCCTTTCATATTTACCTTTCTCATGGAACTTTGCATGTGATAATCATTCAATAAATGTTTATTCACACAACCCTATGAATGAATTAACAAATAGAAAGGTATAATCATCATCAGATAAGTTATCACCTTGGCCGTATCACCTAAAATGACTCATCCAAAGATTTTAGGAGTGTATCTTTTCATCTCAATGCTTTCTTTTGTTTTTCATTTACATCAATGTATAATATTTCATCAGAGTTTAAAGAGTCAGATTGTTTTATGGCATGCTAAGAAAAAAAGCTGTTTCTTGCCATCTCTGCTGTCACTGTTTCCCACTCCCTAGACAAAAATATTTTCAACTCTTTTACCAATTGTTTAATACTTACATTTGCATCTCTAAATAAAATGTAACTTTTGACTTTTCAATTTTAGACTATCTATTGCCTTCTCACTCTGAAATGTGGAGCTTTAGCTCTCTTTTTGTGCTGCGCCCTCTGTCCCTGAGCACACACAGTTACATTGCTGTCCCCTCTGTGCCCCACGTAGATTAGAGTTTTGGTTGGGTCAACAGTCGGTGTTTAGAGGTACATTATCACTGAGACTAAGAACACTATTCACAACGAAGCCATACGATACACTGCGATTATTTTTCCCTTTTTGTGCTTCCATAAAGAACATCATTGCTTAGTTTGTGTATTTGCTTGGCTTTCTGTGTACAGTCATACACTGCACAATGACATTTCAGGCAACAACAGACAACGTATACGACAGTGGTCCCATCAGATTACAATGAAGCTGAACAATTCCTACCACCTAATGAGGTCTTGATGATCACGCGTGTGTGCAGGCCAAGGCCAATGTCTGTGTTTATGTCTTAGTTTTTACCAAAAAAGTTTAAAGAGTAAAAAATAAAAATAGAAAAAAGTTTATAGAATAGAATATAAAGAAAGAAAATATTTTGTACAGCTGTACAATGTATTTGTATTTTAAGCTAAGTGTTACTCCAAAAGAGTCAAAAAGTTAAAAAAAATTAAAACGTTTATAAAGTTAAAAAGTTACAGTAAGCTAAGGTTAATTTATTACTGTGGAAAGAAAATTTTTAAAAATAAATTTAGTGTAGCCTAAGTGTCCAGTGTTTATAAAGGTCTGAAGTAGGGTACAGTGATGTCCTAGGCCTTCACGGTCACTCACCATCATTCACTGACTCACCCAGAGCAACTTCCAGTCCAGTGAGCTCCATTCATGGGAAGTGCTCTATCTAAGTGTATCATTTTTAAAACTTTTTATATCGGCCAGGCGCGGTGGCTCACGCCTGTAATCCCAGCACTTTGGGAGGCGGAGGTAAGCGGATCACGAGGTCAGGAGATGGAGACCATCCTGGCTAACATGGTGAAACCCCGTCTCTACTAAAACTACAAAAAATTAGCCGGGCGTGGTGGCTCACGCCTGTAATCCCAGCTACTCAGGAGGCTGAGGCAAAAGAATCGCTTGAACCTGGGAGGCAGAGGTTGCAGTGAGCCGAGATCGCATCACTGCACCCCAGCCTGGGCGACAGAGCAAGACTCCATCTTAAAAAAAAACCCAAAAAAACCCAAAAAAATCCAAAAAACCCTTTTATACCATATTCTTACTGCACCTTTTGTATGATTAGATATGTTTAGATACACAAATACTTACCCTTGTGTTCCAGTTGCCTACAGTATTCAGTACAATGACATGCTGTCCAGGTTTGTAGCCTAGGAGTCATAGGCTGTCACATACAGTCTAGGTGTGTAGTAGGCTCTACCAAGTATACTCTACGATGTCAGCAGAACAAAATGGCCTAATGACACATTTCTCAAAATGTATCCTTGTCATTAAAAAACACATGACTGTACTTAGTAATTCAACCTAAGATGGGTAAATGTCATCTCAACACATTCAAAATAACCTAATATAGTATTAATTGGGTCCTATCCAATAAGTCTCACCCAGAGCTTTCTGACCTGTATTCTGAGTCATACCCTAGGCCTGACTCAGCAGTTTTATGGGATCCCTTTCACCATCATCCTTGGGGTTGACTTCTCCCATTCCTCAAGTGGGTCACGATTTCCCGGATCCCATGCCTTCCTTCTTTCTGAGTTTATTCCTGCATTTTGGGTGGTCCCATACTCCGGGGCTTCCTAAGAAAGATCCACAGCAAACAAAAAATTTTGAGGTCTTGGAAATCTGAGAATGTCTTTATTCTACCTTCCTGCCTAATTTCTAGATTGGCTGGATAGAGAATTCTAGAATAAAATGAATTTTTCCACATAATTTCGAAGGCATTAAATTCATTCTCTTCTAGCTTCCAGCATTTCTACTATGAGATGTCAAGCCACTCTGAATCTTGATTCTTCTTATAAAATCTCTTCTTTCTAGAGGCTGATAATATATTCTTTTCATCCCAGAGTTTCAAAAATTTCCCAATGATGTGTCTTAATGCTGGAGTGCAGTTGCACGATCTTGGGTCACTGCAAGCTCTGCCTCCCGGGTTCATGCCATTCTCCTGCCTCAGCCTTCCGAGTAGCTGGGACTACAGGCGCCTGCCACTAAGCCCAGTTAATTTTTTTTTTTTTTGTATTTTTTTTTAAACAGATGGGATTTCACCGTGTTGGCCAGGATAGTCTCCATCTCCTGACCTTGCGATCCGCCCACCTCGGCCTTCCAGGTGGGCGGCCTTGATGCTGGTTTTTAAATTATTTCTAGTGCTGGATCTGTGTGGTTTATTTTGATCTAAAAACTCATGTTCTTTCATTTGGGCGAAATAGTTTTGCATTGTTTCACTGATGATTTCCTATTCTCTATTTCTTGAGTTCTTTCTTTGTGGAACTCCTATCATATAGACGTTGCACCTGCTGGACATGTCCTGCATTTTTTTCTTATCTTTTATCCCTTATTTTTTATTTTTGCTCTGCTTTTAGAAGATTTCCTCTAATTTATCTTCCAACTCTTCTATTGATTTTTTTACTTCCACAATTCTATTTTTAATTATTTTAAAGTTCTTATTCCTCAAAACATTATTTTTCTAAAATAGCATGCTTTTCTTGTTTTTTACATGCAATATATTATCTGAATGTATTAAGGATCATTTTCAAATGTTATCCTCCCCTCCTGCTTCTGTTTTCTCCCATTGCTTTTTTCCCTGATTGTTTGTTTCCGTGTCTCTCATATTAGAATCCTATCCTAGTAATCCTTGTGTGGCTACTCCTACCAGGCAGGGGTGCACTAAAAGCCGATCGGAGGCCAGGTGCGGTGGCTCACGCCTGTAATCCCAGCACTATGGGAGGCCAAGGTGGGTAGATTACCTGGGGTCAGGAGTTTGAGACCAGCCTGACCAATGGTGAAACCCCATCCCTACTAAAACTACAAAAATTAGCCGGGTGTGGGGGCACACACCTATAGTCCCAGCTACTTCGGAGACTGAGACAGGAGAATTGCTTGGATCCGAGAGACGGAGGTTGCAGTGAGCTGAGATCGCACCACTGCACTTCAGCCTGGGCAACAGAGCAGACTGGGTCTCAAAAAAAAAAAATGCCGATTGGAGGAGGAGTGTGTGACTAGTTATTGACCAGGGACTTCACTGTATCATGGCCTGCCTTTGCTCTTCCTAGTGGAGCCCTCATTGGCAGTATTTTCAGATCTTTTCTATTGCGCTTGTCAAATGCCCTGGAGAAGACTTCTAGTTGTCTGCCTAGGGCATATGTGTCTGTGTATGCGTGTGTATGCACTCACAAGAGTGTGTGTACTTAGCAAACGGTATTCCAGCCTAGAAAAGGTTAAGAAATATGAAGGGTTTTTGCATTTAGTGTGTAAGCTCAACTCCCCTCTTTTTAGTTCGAACCCTCTGTGTGTCTGTCTGCAGGAAATTAATCTCTTAGATCTTCTGCTAAGATGGTTAGTTACCTGTTGCATGAAGTGGGGAGGAGATGAGAAGGTCCAGCTGCTTCTTCAGCAACTCTCCTTGCAACAGAACTTCCAGAGATATTTGAGGATGCCCATTGTTGGATCTGTATTTGAAATTAAAAACAAAACAAAACAAAAAAAATCAGTCTGCTTCTCAGCTCTCTCTGCAGTTGGCTGAGAATCCAACTTTCTCAGATCTTCTCCCAGCTTCCAAATTTCTGTTGCTGTTGTCTCCATTCTTGTTTATTTTATCTTTGTAAGCTATGCCTTTAAAAAAAATTATTGTTATTTGAACTGTAGCATTGAGCTAAATGTTAATGGCTAATCTGCCATCTTTAATTAAATATCCCAGAGTATCTATTTGCAGTGGAAAAAATACCTGGGTTATTGTTTAATAATAAGTTATTTTTGAATGTGAGCTTTCATAAAAACAGAACTTTAAGAAAAATGTAATTGTTCTTGTAATTCCTATTTTGTCTGGGAGAAAAAATGATTGCTAGGCAGTTACCATCAATGACCAAAAATTTAAGAAAAACAAATAATGTTTAAAATTTTTTAAAAGCAAAAGAAAAACATTTTTCTTAATGTTAATTTTTTTATTGTTAAAAAACATAGCTTCATTCTTGTTTTATTTAATCTGTATCCTGTTAAAATGGCCATTCTGAATCTATGGCCTTTCAGAAGGCTGACATTGCTATTCTAAAATATACCTGTGCCTCTGAGGTTCCTGTAGGTTAGTTTTTGCTGCTCAGAAAACTGCCATTACCAGCACTGAATTTCAATGACTTCCTGCAGGAAAACACCTGGAGGCAATTACCTGTACTTGTCTGCAGCGGACGCAAATAAGCTTTAGGATAGGAAAACTATGTCTGACTTTTAAAAAATGAATCTACCTCCTTTGTGTAATGTTTTACTTGTGTCAGAATAAAATGCTAGCTTATCCAGTCCAGGAATTTATCCATTAACCAATTACATGTTGGTCAATCCACTTTTTCAGCACAGAATTTCCAAACATTAGTGATTTTCTATTATCCTTACCCATCTTTTGATGTCAAAGCTCTTTTGCTGTCTTACAGGATATGGGTCAATGACAGTGTGGGAAGAAACAAGAAAAATCAATAACCTACATTTTAATGTGAAATGACAACATGTTTAACAACAGACTTCCCAGGCATGCTTCAGGAGAGAATGCGAGAACATGTAAAATACATCATATTTTATATTATGTTGATGCATAAGTAATTGTTGTTTTTTCCACTAATGTACATGTGGACTTGGCAATATTTTAATTTAATTTAGATTGATTTAATTAACTAATTTATTTATCTATTAGTTTCTTTTTTAAAGATGGAGTCTTGATCTGTCACCCAGGCTGGAGTATAGTGGTGTGATCACAGCTCACTGCAGCCTTGAGATCTCGGGCTCAAGCGATCCTCCTGCTTCAGCTCCTGAGTAGCGGGACTACAAGCACGTGCCACTATATCTGGCTACTTTTTATTTTTAATTTTTTTGTAGAGGCAGGACCTGGCTACGTGTTCCAGGCTGGTTTCACATCCTGGTCTCAAGTGATCCTCCTGCATAGGCCTCCCAAAGTGTCGGGATTATAGGAGTGAGCCACTGCACCTGGCCAATATTTTATACACCTAGATATAATCTCTGGAGCAAATCTTGGGGATGACTGCTACTTTAGCTAAGCCACGAATGCTCTGCACTTAAATTTAAATGTAGAATTAGGGCCAAGCATGGTGATGCATGTCTGTAATCTCAGCTACTTGGGAGGCTGAGGTGTGAGGATCCCTTGGGTTTAGGAGTTCGAGATCACCTGGGCAGCACGGTGAGACCACTGTCTCATATTAAAAATGAAAAAAAAAAAAGATACATGTAGATTTAAATTGCACTCTTAGAAATATCAGACCATAAAATACTTTTATTTGTACTAAATAATAATGATTTATGGTTTTATAGACTACTGCAGTTAGGGAAGACTATTCAATCATTATGCATGCAAGAAGACCTGTTCTTCTTCAGTGCAAGTTCAAAGTTTCATGTCTTTCTGATTTTATTCTTATTCAGACAAAACTATAGATGATTACCACGCTTTAAAACTTCCTTATTTTCAGTATAACCAAACCATTAGATAAATTTTGATGGAAGTTTCATTTCCTTCCTTCATTCTTCTTTCTGTAATAGCTCGCATTTTTACATTTAGTGAATCATTTTATTTTAAAAATATTCTTATTTTTTCTGCTATTTATAAGTACAGTTTCCTAGAGTCTTTAATTCTTGTTTTATAGACATATCTAACAGTTTTCTTCCTCCTAGTATAGCTTTCAAATTTCTACTGTACACATTACTAATGTATAAAATTTCTGTTTTATTATACAAGGCCTTCTAAGAGCTCCTGTCAAAAATATTGCTGTAAATAAATCCTGTTTTTTATAATTCTAGTGTTATAATTAGCTATTGCATTCCCAAAAACTTGATGTTAAATAAAGCAAGGAATATGACCAACAATATGCTGTAAAAATGAAACTATGACTACAGATTTCTTTAATGACTTAAAATACTATCATATTTTCTTCCAACCTCTACAGAATTTTAGAACCAGAAGGAAACTTAGAGATGATGAGAACTTAACACTGGATTTCACAGGTGAGAAATGGAGACCCTGACTGGAGAACTTTCTTGGGTCACACAACTAGTTATCCACTTTCAGCTTGGTCTTCTTTCAATCTTCATTTGCCTCCTAAATAAAAGATCTGCTGGCTCGGACTCAATGTTTGGCCCAGTGTCTCATGTTGTAATAGCCTCCATCTTCAGTCGGGCACAGTCGCTCACGCCTGTAATCCCAGCACTTTGGGAGGCTGAGGCGGGCAGATCACCTAAGGTCAGGAGTTCAAGACCAGCCTGACCAATGTGGTGAAACCCCGTCTCTACTAAAAATACAAACATTAGCCAGGCGTGGTGGTGCACACCTGTAATCTCAGCTACTTGGGTGGCTGAGGCAGGAGAATCGCTTGAACCTGAGAGGCAGAGGTTGCAGTGAGCCAAGATGGCGTCATTGCACTCCAGCCTGGGCAACAAGAGCAAAACTTCATCCCCTGCCGGCCAAAAACAATAAAATAAAATAAAATAAATAAATAAATGAAATAGGCTCCATCTCCTTCCACCCCTCAGTGGAGTCTCTTCTTATTCAAACTCTGCCTTTCCTTGACGATCAGATGATGCCCCTTGGCTGAAGCATTGCCTGATCTCACTCTCCTCAGAATTCCTGTGAAATTTTATTCACACTTTCAGTGGTTAAGTGGTTAAATACAAATTCTAATCTTTTGCCATTTATAAAGCACCTAAAACATCATGATGTATTATGTGTAAAAATGTAAAAATGAGTAAAATATGCCAGGTGAAACTTAATTTAAGGAATGCTGGTTGGCAAGAAAAAAGGAAGTACTGATAAATGCTACAAGGTGGACATATTTCAAAAATATTGTGCTCAGTGAAAGAAGCCAAGCATACATGTTGTATGAGCTCATTTATATGAAATGTCCAAAGGAAAAAGGCAGATAATAAGAGACAGAAACTGCATTACTCATTGTCTATGGCTGACGATGGAATGGAGAGTGATGGTGTGAAGTTTCTTCTTAGGATGATGGAAATGTTTTAAAATTGGATTCTGTTGATGGTTGCACAACTCCGTAAATATAGTAAAATTTATTAAATTGTACACTTAACACAGTTGAGTTTTATGATATGTAAATTATATCACAACAAAACAGTTTTTGAAAACATCGGTTTAAGATGATAAAGATAAAATGGGACCCAAATAGATTATTCTCTACTGGTATAATAAAACTTTGAAAGTCATAAACTGTTATATGCCAAGTAGCATTGCTTGAAATATACACATTTAAAAATTAGAAAAATTCACCTTCAGAGAAAATTACGGAATTCATATCTATAGCATGATTCCTTTTTTTAAAAAAAAACCTCAATATTCGTTTGTATGTATCTGTTAAAAGACAACATTAAGTTAATACTTCAGGAGGAAAGAACTGGAGGGGGCTGCCTGGGCAAAGATGTTAAAATTTTCTATCATCTCTTATTTAACTTTTACAATGAGCTTATTACTGTAGTAATTAAAATAAAATCCTCATCAACTCAGTCTTTGAGTTGAGCCAAGCAAAACATCAAGCAGGCAGTAACAGAAACATGAATGTGAAAGATCGAATAGTAAAATTAGTACTGATGGTTAATGGACATGAAGAAAAACTTCGTTCCTTGGAGAGACCTACTTTCCTGGCACCTGCAGAATCACTGATTATTTACATCGGTTATGCACATCGGGCCACCAGCTCTGATCTGTCAGAGAGAAGCCCTGAGCCTGTGAGCCAATGCGCTTTCCCTCCAGCTGCATACCAGATAGGGCATGCCTCAAAAAGATGTCCATCCTGCGGGTGCAAAATAAAAATAAAATAAAACGACGGTTTTTATCATTAGTTTCCAACGTTTTTGAGCAGGCGTTTTTGGAGAGGTCCTATGTTTCCAGAACATCCATTTGAGAACATGCGTTGTGGAATGTGCCCCCTCCAAGGCCAGGTCACTCAGCGGCAGTTACAGCTGGGCAGGCGCCTTTAGGAGGTGGGTGAGATGGCTGACTAGTACCATCAGTTCTATCACACGAGTTACCAATATTTTACCGCCCCTCCGTCCCCCACCGGCTTTGAAGCAAAACGGAACAGCCGGGCACGCACAGGGAGGATGTCTGTGCCGCTGTTGTTCTAGGTTTGTCAGCCGGGGCGGCCAGCAAGGAATCCAGGGGCTGACTTGTCCTGCTCCAAGAAGCAAAAGAGCCCACACCATTGCTGACTGTGGTACTGTGAATTTTGTTATCTTCACTGCCTTCCAGAATGGACCTTTTCTTTGAGAGTGGCCTCAATAAATCATAGTGAAGCTAATGTGATGTTGGTTATGAGTTGTTGTTGTTAAGAATTATGCCACTCTTAAGGCTAGTGAGGAAGAACTAGAGATTAAATTCGGAAACCAGGACCCATCCAGAGAACCCATGACAGCCTATTTCAGAGGAAAATTTTTCAGAGAGAAATTGTAATACACTTCCCAAAGCAGAAGTGGTATAGAAAATTTTTTAAGACCACAATGCTATAAATGCAATCAAAGATTTTAAATTGGAAAAAACACTCCAAAACTGTTCTTTCTTCCCCAAATCCAACTATTTGAAAATATCAAGACATCCTCCTAAATAAGACTTAAGTCAAAAAAGGAATCAAATATGCTGTTACGGATTTAAACATTATTAATATATTCAGACATCGGCATAAGGAAAACATTTCTTATCAATATAACAAAAGCTATATTCTGAGAAAGAAAATCATTTTAAGATGTTGGTCAAAGGATACAAAGTTTCAATTGGGCAGGATGAATAAACTTGGGAGGTCTAAGTTTACAAATGCCGTGGCAGCATCAGGAAGTTATCCTATATTGTCTGAAAAGGGAAGGCATGAATAATCTGCTGCTTGTTTAGTATATCATCAAGCATTAACCACAAAAATGGGCAACCAGTAGCCCTCAGGACTGCCCTGCCTATGAAGTAGTCATTATTTTATTCCTTTACTTACTTAATAAACATGCCTTCACTTAAAAAAATAAAAGTTTGCGAGATCTAGTATTGTATAGCATGGTGACTATAGTTAATAAAAGTGTATTGTATATTTAAATATTGCTAAGAGAGTAGATCTTTATTCTCACCACAAAAAATAACTATTGGATATATTCAATAGATTGATTTAAACATTTCACAATGTACTTATATATCAAAACATTACTTACATTGTACACCATAAATATAATATATACAATATGTATTTGTCAATTATACCTTAACCAAAAAAAAAAAAAACCTAGTGTTTAACTCAAGAAGCTGATATCACATGAAAATAAATCTAAGAAAAGGAAGAGGAAATAATTATTAGGTGTAAAAGTGTAATAATAAATTAGAAGGATAGAAAAAGTGATAAATACAAAAGACTATTACTTACACAGTCCAATAAAATTAATAAATATTTACCAAGGGCCGGGGATGGTGGCTCATGCCTGTAATCCCAGCACTTTGGGAGGCAAGGTGGGCGGATCACGAGGTTAAGAGATTGAGACCATCCTGGCCAACATGGAGAAACCCTGTCTCTACTAAAAACACAAAAATTAGCTGGGTGTGGTGGTACATGCCTGTAGTCCCAGCTACTCAGGAGGCTGAGGAAGGAGAATCACTTGAACCCCAGAGGCGGAGGTTGCAGTGAGCCGAGATCACGCCACCGCACTCCGGCCTGGCGACAGAGTGAGACTCCGTCTCAAAAAAAAAAAAAAAAAAAAAATCTACCAAGTTTGATTAAGAAAACCAAAACGAAACCATAAAGACCTAAAATTAGGAACGATAATGTTGAACCACAGATTAAAAGGAAATTTAATAGGAATGTAGAAGACAGTATTCTCTCAGTTTTTTTTTCTGAAATGATGTTGATGTATCCTAAGGGATGATCTATGCCAGAATGGTATGCAAATAAAATATTGGGACACTTATTTTTATGTTGTTATTATTTTAAAAATGGAAAATAATCTGTCCAGATACTGCAACTACTGTTTCACAGTGGACCCCTGCTCAGTTCCTAGGTCAGGCCTGTGTTCTCCTTGGTAGAGGAGGGAAGGGGAGGGTTTCACTATCCTAAGGAGTTGGTGTTTATGCTTTTGGTTCTTTAGTTTGTTGGGACACATATACTTAGCTAAATAGAGTGCAGAATAAATTATTTAAAATAATAGAATGTTTAAAATTAGGCAGGCATGGTGGCACACACCTGTAATCCTAGCTACCTGGGAAGCTGAGGCAGGAGAATTGCTTGAAGCCAGGAGGCAGAGGTTGCAGTGAGCCAAGATCACACCACTGCACTCCAGCCTGGGCCACAGAGCGAGACTCCATCTCAAAAAAAAAAAAAAAAAAAAAAAAAAAAGAATGAAAGAAAGAAAAAGAATGTTTACAATTTCCTGAAATGAGATGAGGAATTATCATGAATACATGAATATATTTTCCATGGAGATTCCCTAGCTGTGTTTTGTCAAACTATTTAAAAGAATGTTTTTCCCCCTGGACAAATGATCTTCAAACTGGGCTAAATAGAGACTCTAAAAAGGTATACAATGTGGGTAGTTTAAAGGTCTCAATATACACGGCACAACTTTGGTATATACTCTTCCCTTCTATAAAGTGGGCTCTCTTTTTCCTTAGCTCATCTTTCAAAGTAAAACTTTTCCCATTTTAAAAAAGAAAGTTGAATTTGTCAGGATGTTGTGGGAAACCATCCACTCCAGAATGTCACTGTTTCTCTTTACAATGCATTCCCTTGGCCCCACAGAGCCTGGCAGACAGAGAGCCTGGAAAGGTTCAGTGAACAGCATCACTGATCATCATGAAAGATTTACCTCTCACCGCTCCGAGATTTTACCATAGTGGTATCTGGCCCCTTAATGTGAGGTGCCGCCAGAGAACCAAACCAAGGGACTTCTGAAAATATTGTTTTCTTGGAGCCTTCCTTTTATAATTAATCCACGGATCAATAAAAGTCCACAAGTTTTCTAGTATTTCACTCTCTTCTACATATTTCTTTTTAAAGATATAGAGGTGTATTGGAAGCAGAGTCTTTTGCCCTTGGTGGATCATCCTGAAACCTGACATTTCCGAGAGGGGAAGGAATGACAGTTATCTTTTACCACCTCTTCTTTTACTTCTCAAAAGGATTGGCAAAAAGTGCATTGCTCTCCAAGGGAGAGTTTGCACCCGCAAAGCAAAGGGAGCATTGGTAAAACACACTGATGCCAAAAATGACTGTCTTTTTTTCTCATTTAAATGTAAGCAGTTTTCTTCAGCTACTTTCAATTCTCCTCCCAAGGATGTGACATTGACTGGGAAGAAAAACATCTTCAAGGAACAAGCAGTGGAGATTGGTGATACCATTTGCTTTAAAAGTAACTGGGGTCCAAATGTTTCAAATGATAGCAATTTTTTTTTTAGATTTGGAATGTATTATTCAATTATTGGTTAACATATATTTTATCAAGTCAGATCTTAAAAATATCTTGTTCATTTTCTAAATTGTTTACATTTTCCACCTATTATTAAATATTTTATGTTATGTAATAGCTGCTAGAATAGTTATTTTTTAGCAGTGTATAGAACCTTTCATTGATTACAGAAAATGTTTGCTAATAATGCAAACAAAATTAAGGAAGCAATTTTTGGATTTGTAAATATGATTTTTAGTTAACTGTTCCAAAAAGCCAAATACCAAAATTCAATACATAAGATGCACACACATATAATAAACATCATGTTTTTATCACATTCCTCCCTTCATAACATCACTTTATCTATATATTACATTTTATTTTTAGAAATTAAGGTATAAGAAACAGTGTATAGATTTACTCTTGCTTTTTAACTTGTAAAGTGGATGATTTCATTATATTGAATCTACACAATTTTAATCTTAATCACCTTTAGTAAACTCTGTTGCAAAATGTGCTCCATAATTTATTTTGCAGTGTTTTCATCACATTCCTTGAAATATTAACATGTTTATGTACATGTTATTTATAATACTTGTAAATCAATATTGACACTTATTTGATTTGAAAAATGCAGTGAGTGATTTTCTGATGCAAACTAAATCTCTATTAGTTGATAGATTTCAAAATGAGAAATAGCTTTGCTAATTAGGTTTCATAGCAGACATTTTCCATAAATTGAATGCTCTAAAGCTATAGCTTTCAATAAATTGGTTCCATTATTAGTTGTAAATACATAAAAATACATATTTAAAGCATTTAATAAGATAAAAGGGATCATTATAAATATATTCCATTAGAAAATTTTTGATATAAAAAGTAATTTGATTTTCTCAACTCCTTTTTAAGAATAAGCTTTTATTTGGAGTATAACATACAGAAAGAGTCCATAGGTTATGAATGTACAGTTCACTGAATTATCACTCGGTGAACTCACGTGCATATCCACCACACAGGTAAAAACATAAAGAAACACTACTAGCATCTCAAAAACCTTTCTCATATCTCTT
Source organism: Homo sapiens (assembly GCF_000001405.40). NCBI lineage: Eukaryota > Metazoa > Chordata > Mammalia > Primates > Hominidae > Homo > Homo sapiens. The sequence goes on along the minus strand of NC_000006.12, from coordinate 11,983,977 downwards.
CTTAATCTGCCAATTCTTTTTCATATATTGATTTGAACAAGTTATTGCTAAGTGAAAACTAGATTCAAAGCAAAACAATATATACAACAAGAATAATAGCTAATGGGTATGTTATATTAGATTATTCCGCAAACATTCACTCCCCCATCTCACACATCCATGGTAAGAATATTCATCGGCCCATTGATGCTGGGCATGCTCTCTGACTTTCTTTGGCCAGTGACCATGTGCTCATTCTAAGAAGTGTAGGCTTTAAGATGTACTGTGTGTTTTGACCCCGACACAAGGAGTGTATGCCTCAGGGAGCCACTGCGACTTCATCCTGGACCCCAGAATGAGACACACGGAACAGGCTGGCACTGACTTGCAGCCGAACCCAGGTTTGCCCCAGTTCACCTGCATACTTGCTAGGGAGAAAAATAACTGCTTTTTTTCTTACATGCCACTGAGATTTTGTTGGTTGGTTACACGGAAAAGGCTGACTCATATAATAATCCTTTGATAAATCTCAAGGAAGCCTAAGTGAACAAACTCTAACCACTGGGGAGCACATTAATTCTTTTCTTTTGTCACAATTGAAGAATGAATTAGAATTGTCAAAAGATAGATTATTAGAACTAATTTCATCAGTTGGTAACTTCTCAGCAAATAACCCAGAAGTGGGTAAACACATTGAGCAGCAACAGAATTTCCATTTCTGTCTATTTATATGAACAAGGTTTCTCAGGGCGTACATCTAGAAACATAAAATATATGAACAGAATTGATGTGAGCCCCGTCTCACTCAAATCATGAACAATATTTATCTAGGGGCAAATGAAAATAACCTGACCCCATTAATCTCATTAAGAGCTTTCTTTTTGATAATTTAAAAATTGTTGTTTGATGATTATCTGTGAAAATCTATAATGTAGTTACGTTGTTTTGACTAATTATGTACTACTAACAGTCGCAATGATAGCTCTCTCTGAAAGGCAATTAACACTTAGAGCCTTGTGTTCACAGGTAATTAAAAAATTAATCTTTCAATTTATATGCATATTTTTATCATAGAAAATATTGATGATTAACAGAGTTTCAAAAATAAATATATACTAAATACATTCTTGGGAATGGGGGCTTGAAGTGGAATAGGAATAAAAGTCCGGGAAGAAAAAGGGATAAAGTACAATTTCCCATTGTTAGATAAAATCTGATACATATATTTTTAAGAATGGACAGTGTGGGTGTCAAATTGCTATGGTATTGGAATGTCACTGAGTATGATGGGATTTAAGTTTTATTTTTTTAATGTCTGTGGTTACCATATTCCACAAATTACATCTTTGCAAACTTGTAATTTTTTGATAACAGTTATGAGATGGCCATCTAAAAAAATCAATGAAGAATACATAGAATTTCATTTCCTCTTGCAGGATGTCTGGGATTTAAATTTGAAGAAAAATTTTAAGCTATTTTAATTTGTTTACTGATTTAAGCTATTGGTGAGTTATGTATATGTCCTTTATAGACAGACAAGTGTCCCAAATTAACTGATCATTTCTGTGAAGGTAAATGGCTGTCAGTTGTATCAACCCAGCCAACACTGAAAAAATATTAGCACAAACTGCCACTCAAAGGTAAAAGTGATATGCTTTTACAAGGGAATAGAAAATAATTGGCTTTTTAAACAAACTTCTGCAATGGAGACAGCATTTTGAGAATAATTGGAAATGTTCCCATCATTATGTGATTTTTGTTGCTGAAAACGATGTTTGTCACTTACAAAATTTCTTAAATCTGCCTACTCTAAAAACAGGACCACAAAATATATAACCTGCTTTGTAACCTGTGTACAGTCCCAGTGGTATTTAAACTCATTTGTTAAAAATTTAAAAATTCAACAGCTTCTGACTGACATCAGGAAAAGCAAATATTTTTTAATATTTCAACCATTATCTACATGATTAGTAAATGGGACTGAAAAGAATGCACATGATGACTTAGTAAGACTGACAATGATGCACTTACTTTTTCCAATTTGGACCTATGTGTATTTGTGAGGTATCTTTAGAGCTAGGGTAACTTTTTAAAACGAATACCAAAATAAATTGAATTTAGAAAAATATCTTTGATCACTATGTCACAAATTATTAAACCAAGATTTAAAAAAAATAAAACCTATTTAATGACATAATTCTTACTAAAATATTAATATTAAGACTATTTTAGAGAAGCAACAAGTTTTTTATTTCATGATTGAACTAAATATAAATTATTTTTAAATAGTTTATTTCATCTTTATCTTATCTTTAAAATTCTTCTATTTACAAGAGTGTTTTATACTTTATGTAATCCACTAGTCTAGTAGTAAATACATGCAATTATTAAATAAGTAAATTGGGGTGCCTACTCAAGCATTTTTAACTGATAGGAGGCAAGAACAAAACATTGGGAGCTACTTCTCCATAAAACTTTATGCAACTGAGTGAGAATATCTTGATGAAATAGATTGTCTGCCTGGAATATATAAATAACCAAAATTGGCTCAAAATGTAGAAGATCCACCATGAATAAAATTGAAAAAGATGATAATTATCCCTTCAAATTTGCCAAAACCAGATGATTTTATGGATGTTATTTTAGACTCTGAAATTATAGATTTCTTTTGCAATTTAAAATGTCCCAGAGAATAAAGATGGAAATCTTCCCAGTTTATTTTAACCTCATACCAAAACCTGATAAAATTATCACAATGAAAGAAAACTATAGCTAAATTTCACTTATGATTATAGAGAATTAAAAAATCCTAAATAAAATCACCAACCCAGACGTATTAAAAGAGCAATAAATTATCCCCGTACTAGAGTTTATTCTTGGAATCAAGAAGTATAAAGAAATCTATTAATGTAATAGATACAAATGATTTTTAAAAAGACAGTATCAATAGATATCTTCCAAAAGCACCTAATTTAGTTTAACAACCATGTTTGACAGAGTATTTAAGGAAACTAGAAAGAATATTCCTTCAACATTTCATATATACATCGATAAATACATACATATCAAAATGGACCTCTCTGTTTCTCTCTCAGAGGTATTCCATTGGAAATCATAAATACTTGGTGTAAACAGTTACACTATTTTGTGAATCTTGGCCAATATCATGGGAAAAGCTAAATAAGTTTCAAAATACACAAATAAAGAAGTATCAATGTTTGCAGCTGATTTCTTTAAATAGGCAAGTTCAGTAAAATGGCCATTTACAAATCATACAGACGTTAATTTTAAAACAGTTTTCTAACAACTAATATCAACTGCCTAGACATATACTTAATTAGGAATGCCTAAAATCCATTAGACAGTATTAACATTTTCCGAGGGACATAGACAACTACAAAAAAACGACGCTGCAGATAAGACTTAGTATTGTTAAGATGTCAGTTCTGCTAAATTAATTATAAGTTGTCAGAATTTTAATGAGTTTTTTTTTAAAAAACATGTAACAGTGATTTCAAATTTCAACTAGAAAAATAAACATACTGCAATAATTAAATTTTTGAAAACTAAGAATGAGAAGACATTTGCACTAATGGTTTTCAAAATATATTATCAAAATATAACCAATTAAAACAATGGTACTGGAATAGATAGAACAATGAAACAAAACAAAAATCCTAGGAGGATTTCAAGCATACTTAAGAATTTATGCTAAAGTGACTTTTATTAACAATGAGAAAATATATTACTTAACAATGGTGCTGGAACAGTTGGCCTGCTTTGAAAAAGTAGGACAAATTTTCCACCCTATACCATAATCTAAAATAAATTCCAGATAGATTAAATATTTCTTTCTCTTTCTTTCTTCTTCTTTTTTTTTTTTTTCGCCCAGGTTGGAGCGCAGTGGCGCAATCACAGCTTGCCACAGCCTCAACCTCCTGGGCTCAGATGATCCTCTTTCCTCAGCCTCCCAAGTAGCTGGAACTGCAGGCAGATGCCGCCATGCTTGGCTAATTTTTTAAATTTTTCGTAGAGACAGATTCTCCCTGCTTTGCCCAGGCTGGTCTTGAACTCCCAGCCTCAAGCAATCCTCCTACCTTGGCCTCCCGAAATGCTGGGATTACAGCCATGAGCCACTGCACCTAGCTTCAAGATTAAATATTTTGAATACAGAAAATGAATTATGTTTATAATCAAGAATTCTCTAAGCCTCAAACAAGGGTTGGATACAGATTTTGTGGGAACCAAGCTTAATCAATTTTAGAACTTTCATTAAATGAAGTAATGTAAAAACGTAAATGCAAAATTAGAAACAAAACTGGATATCTGCTTAGAATGAGAAAACAAAGCTGATAAATACCATTGACATCACAAAATCCCAGAAAAATAACATAGCATTTTTATTAACATACTCTACAATATTTTTTTCTACTTTTTTGGGCTGTATTTTGCTTCCTCCTATGACAATGATTTTGTAATATAATTTTCTAAAGAGAAAAATAAAAATATACACCAGTCCTTTTTGTCGTGGTTCATCAAATCACGTTCTTTAAATTGATAGACTGGAAACCTTTCTTACAGCTTCACAACTCATAATAGATAATATCATGTAAATTTTTAGTGTTGTTGCTGAATTGGGAAAACCTCTAAGTTTCTTCATATATGAAGTGGAAGACCTTGGGGCATTTCAAGTTCTCCTCTATAAAGTCTAACCTTAAGACATTCTTTGAATTGGTTACACTAATTGAACAAACTGTCCTTGGTGGTATTGCAATGTTGTATTTTTTTACATTATTTGTATTTATCTTTCTTGATGTTTGTATTTCCTGACAAATTAGTGAAAAATGTATTTTTTTTTCAGCTTGTTACACTCCTCTTTATTAACTGGAAAATCAAACAATTCTATGGTGTATTCACCACTTACATTTCAAATTTATCTCTTTATTTTAATGAATTCTGTTTTCAGTATTGGGTGAGGGGTTTTTGGCTATATTTTGCTTCTAAATGTCAGAATTGTTTCTACTGACATATTGAAATACACAGCACATACTTTTATTGTATGGACATATACAAAATTATATATATTGCATTATCAAGTTGGAATTATTTTTGTGCATTAACAGGAGAAAATTTCTGTTATGGCTAGGTATTGATGAAAACCAAACCCTGTGCTTATAATTTTGCAGACTAGCTCCCAGGTCTGTATATTTCCAGCATATTGTTATTCCTGGAAGTCATTGCTACAGAGACATAGCTAGAAAGAACTAAATTGTACTCAGAAATGAGAGCAAACTACATACATGCATACTACTAAACTAAATGTATCTTAAGTTCAATTTCCCTTAGTTAGACCTCTAACTGCCTTTAGTCTCTGATGTCATTTAACATGAAGTTCAGTGTAATGGACCGGAAGTAAAAGTGAAAAGAAACTGAATGTTGTTAAAGTATCTGACTTTTGGAAGATTTATGACCAGAATAACACATGACTAGGACTCCTTCCAGAGCCTTGAAAATGGCCCATATAAGTGAGGATCCCTGGAACCTAAAGTTTATGGTAACTCTTTTTCTGACATGTAAAGGCAAGCTGGTAAAGAAAATACTGATCAGTTAAATAAGATAAGCACTATAAACAATGGTAACCCAAGTATGCCATTTATAGTTAAGAGGCAAATGACAAATGAGGGAAGTGACAAATACACACACAACCACACACATACACATACACATACACATACAAGTGAGTGTGGCAAATACATAAATGTATATGACTTTTTAGTATATATGTGGCAAATAAATATACATGGCATATATATGCTATGTATACATATCAAATATACAAACATTTTAGAAGATCTTCTGGTATCACAATGAAATACAATTATTTACTGTTGTTTATTTTAAAACAGAAGTGCTAAGATCTGGTTGCCTTTAAAATTTAAAATTACTTGAGAAATTCCTAATATGCATTTTTTCTAAGCAACATGTATAAAGTAATAGATAAACCCTACTATAATTGTGTTTGAACATATTGTCCAAAAATGATGTATAGATAATGCTGACATTTCCAAATGATCATCTCGAAATTTAGCCAGTATCATATAGACAATAACATATAAAAAGAGAAGGGGAAATTAACAAAGTCATGGAGAATAAATAATAGAAAATGCATTTTAGGGTTGGGCACAGTGGTGCATGCCTCTAATTCTAGCATTTTGGGAGGCCGAGGTAGGCGGATCACTTACCATCAGGAGTTTGAGACCAGTCTGGCCAACATGGTGAAACTCCGTCTCTACTAAAAATACAAAAATTAGCTGGGCATGGTGGTGCACACCTGTAATCCCAACTACTCAGGAGGCTGAGGCAGGAGAATCACTTGAACCTGGGAGGTGGAGGTTGCAGTGAGCCGAGATCACACCACTGCACTCCAGTCTGGGCGATAGGAGCAAGACTCTGTCTCGGAAAAAAAAGAAAAAAAAATGCATCTTAGGAAGATGCAGAAAAAAATAATCAGAAACAGGGAATTGAAGGAAGTGGAACAGATGTACACCAACGAAACTAATCACTCTACTGGTCCCAGCTTGACCAAGAGGTGTCATGTCTGACATCAGAGTGAGGGCCAGGCCTAACCAAGCGCGGTGATCTGTGTGATAAAGAACTCCACACAAAAACTTAAAAACAAATTTTGGGAAAAGACAGGCCCTGAACTGAGGTGAATGGTAGCATGCAGATAATTCTTTTTTTTTTCTTCATTGCTGTTTAAGTCACTCCTTTTCTCAATATTTACTTTGTGTAAATCCTGATTCCTCCCTGGATTAAGTCTTTTTACTGCATATCATTTGGTATTGTAGGGAGAACAAATGCTGCAATTGTAATATTTGCAGTATGCTTTTGTCATATTTCATTGTCTATCATCTCTTCTGGTTTGAGGATGCTGATAATATTACCTTTTCCCACAAGTACTTATAATGTTCAAAGGAAGAAAAATGCCAGCCAAGTTATCCTTATTTAATTCAATTAGTTCCTTCTATTCAACAGGTACATGCTGAGGCCAAGAAGTATCATGTTCTTTGCTGGTTTCTGGGGATACCTAGAGTAGGTCTCCCTGGCCATGTGATAGTTACATACACTAATCACAACACTGTATGATAGGAACTATAATGGAGATATCTGATCAATTATATGGCAAATCAGATGAGAAAAGTGTTGATTCTCCCCAAAGGGACACAGTTGAGCTGAGTGGAAAGAATAAGACATCATATGTCCACTGTGGGGGAGAAGGGGGCAAGCAGGAAGTGAAAATATCAGAAAAACATAGAGAAGTGGCTGATCACAGTGCACTCAGGGATGGATCTGGTGTGGACAAAGCAAAAGGGCCCCCATTCGGGGCTAATCTCACTGTCCTCTGGAGTGGTCTTTCTCTCAACTCCTAGAAAAACTAAAAGCACAGAGAAGCCACTTTCAGAGAAACAGTGGAGGCCAGAAAACAGTGCTTTGTTCTCAGAAGGAAATGTATTACACTGGCTTCTTTACTCCTGGGAAGAGGTGAGCAAGGGAAAGAGGAAGATCTCTGTTGCTCTCTATCTGAAACCTGCTAGGGCTTTTCTTTGCCTTCTAAACACAGTTCAGCCTCCTGAACAGCACATACAAATCTCTTCATAATATGAAACTAGTGTAGTATCTATTTGCTATTTTTCCAGGTTTATTATGGCACAAGAAACATCGTTTCAAGAACTTCTTGGCAGAATCTGAGGTAAAAAGTAAATAAATACATAAATAAATAAATAAAATAAAACTTTTATAGTTGAAGATGCTTGCCTTTAGTGAAAACACCAAATTCAAGATTAACATGTTATAAAACCATGGTTTTTGCAAGTTGAGGCACTTGAACACTGCAGACTTGTGAAATGACTGAAATTGGGAAGAGCCAGGACAACACCCCTCATTTCGCCCTCGCCAGAGGCAAGAAGGCAGTGGAGTGGGAACTCCTAACTCTAAACATGCCAAGTGCAGGTGAGAGCCCTGTTGCTGAGGCAGGTCCTTTGGCCTCTGAGAAGAGAAGCATTGTGGTGCATGTTAACAAAAGACTAATTTTTATTGGGTTGTTAACTTGGAGGATGAGAAACATTAAAAGATTGGCAAGAAACAGGTCAAGGAAAATACAGTTCGGTAGAGAGCTGAAGAGGTAAGCTGTGACTTTAGCCCTGGCCGCAATCTGAATGTGGTCAAACAAGCAGTGACTCTGCAGAGCCCTCACCACAGAGGAGATGACAACCTTCTGCGAAGACGGAAGTTAGAACAGCTGCTTCCTACTCTGAGGGGACAAACAGCCACGTGCACTGAAGGACACATACAAAGTCCTCTGAAACATGAGTAATATGTGAATGTGTGTGGGTGGTATACGAAAGATTTTGTTTCTTTTATTTTTCTTTTCTTTTTTTTTTTTTTTCTGAGACGGAGTCTTGCTCTGTCGCCCGGACTGGAATGTAGTGGTGTGGTCCCCGTTCACCGCAACCTCTGCCTCCCAGGTTCAAGCGATACTCCTGCCTCAGCCTCCCGAGTATCTGGGATTACAGGCATGCACCACCATGACCAGCTAATTTTTAAATTTTTTTTTTAGTAGAGACAGCGTTTCACCATGTTGGTCAGGCTGGTCTCAAACTTCTGACCTCAGGTGACCCACCAGCCTCAGCCTCCCAAACTGTTGGGATTATAGGCATGAGCCACCACTCCCAGCCTTGTTTCATTTTTATAATAATAAGCTAGATGCCAAAAATGCATGCTCAAGTCAATGACTTTCTCGATAAGTCAATGTTAGGGCCACTCTTGGGGCCATACATCCCACGTCATCTTCATCATCATCTCTAGAACTCACAAGTGAGCTCGTCATCACTCCCTTAGTGCTCATCCTTGGGGGGACATTCTCATTCCCATCACAGCAAACAGCTCCACAGTCTACACAGTAACTTGGACCAGAAACCCAGGAGTCATTCTAGATATCTCTTTGTGTCTTTACTTTAACATACAGATTACAGTTTACATCTATATCTTTGTTTACCTCTTTCTGTAAAAAACTGATATAGCTACTCCATCATCAGAGTGTAAGCTCATTGAGAAAAAGCCTTAATCCCATTTCTGTATGTCTAAGACATCATGCACTATCTTGAACACAAAACATGTTTGTGAGCTGAAATAATACTTTTACACCCAAAAAGGTTTAATTATATACCACATAATGTATGTAAGCATTCAAGCATTTTCACCTTGTTTTTTTTTTATAAAGTTCAAAGATTTTAAATGTTCGTAGTCAAAGATCAACACTCCTGTCCTCTATAGGATGGTTTGTTCCCTAATGGCTATGCAGAATAAAAAGTTCTATGGTACTCTCCTGCGATACTGGCAGGTCAGATATTTTCACTCACTGGCAGTAACACCTCAAAGTGTCATTCAGGCCTGAGGATGGTCCCTTTCTATTTGGGAGGTGTTCGGACCATCCATATTCTTAAACAGGCTCACTCAATAATTACACAGCACTATGTATCTGAAGACAAAAAATTAATAACTCTTCTAATTAGTGCAAAGAGAATTGTTTGTAGATTTATCCACCAAATGTTATTCCATTACACATAAATAAATCATGATTTTCATCTTTGAGAGTCTTCTAAAAATAGAAAACACTGACACACCTAGAGATAGATAAGAATGTAGACAAGCAGAATGAGTATTTCTGACTTCATTCCAATGGAAACATTCCAAACTAAATTAAGAAATCTCTAGCTCTCTACTCTCTTCTTTCTTAAAGCTTCCTCCCTATCTTTTTTTTTTTTAGAGAAAGAATTATTTATTTTGATTAATCCTATTCTCCCATCATTCTTTTTCTTTCATTACTGTCATGGCAGTAGGAAATTAAGGGAAATCTCTCAATGCAAATGATGGTGTGGAAATTTTCCATCTAATTATGACAGTTTTTTTTAAAAGGTTCTTTATCACTTAGAACCATCCTGCATTTTAATTTTCTTTGTCTTCATCCCTATTCACATGTCCCCTTGAATCAAACTTTTTTGAGAAATTGAAACCACTACTTTTCATTACAGAATCACTTTATTGTATTTGGTTTGAGTGGTTGATCTTTGCTTGTGAATTTCTTGAGCCGAGCTTCATGTGTTGAGCCTAGTTTATGCACTGGGCTCCTGAAACATGAAAACATCTTCCCTCTCACACTATGTCAAGTCTTGGCTGCCATCTTTCTGTAAGGTTAGCTGTAGACAACTGCTTATTTAAAGGTAAATTTCCAACAGGGTATTTGCTTGATTGTTTTTGATTGATTAATTTCCACTTAATCATTGAAACCAGAACCAGCTGCTTAAGACTGTGACAAAATGGTGTTTTTCTCACTTTCTAATGAGTCCAATGTAGTTATTTCTTTTTTTGATGAAGTAAAATGTCTCTGATAAAATTGATTTGTAACATGCATTTATTGCTTTGTTTTCTCTTGAATGCCTCATTTATCTCAGTGGTAGTATAAATGGGAAATACATGGAGACCCATTGTATTGTATATGGTGCTCCGAGGGTGAGGCTTAGTACCAATGAACAGAGACCCACAGGTGGCTTCTTCAGAAAGTGAGAAAATGATTTGCCTTTTAGATTTGCTCAGCTTGCATTTCATTTATTCTGTAAAGAGCCAACAATGACACATACACTTCGGTTCAAATTTAATTTATGCTGTTTGTTGTTAAAAATGACACAGTATCTGTTCTGTTTACCAGGGGGCTGTTGAACAAGGCTGGCCAGTTTTCTTTGAATTCCAGTATTTTCATGCTATAGGGAATTAGGTGTTTAGCTAAGAGTCATGTTTGCCCAATGCCCCACTGTCAAGACTGGGCATCCCCAGACACTCCAACAAACATCTGGTCTGAGGATGCAGTTCTGTTAAAAATAGCAACAACAACAACAATCTGAGGAGTAGCCGGTGTTGCAATCCCGCTTTCATGTTTGCTGATTGTCTCAGTTGGCGTTCTCTAGCGCACTTGAGACAAAGACATAGAAGGTGGTTTGCTGGGTTGACCCAGGAAATACACATGAGGGCATGGGGAAAGGGAGGAATGGCAGTGGGGAAGGAGGAAAGAGAGGAGTCATCCCTGGGTAGCTAGGGCATTTGTCCCCCCACCCCCACCCCGAGGGTCTTACATCCTCAGCAGTCCCGCTGCCTCGCATGCTGGCTGGGCAAGCTGGCATGACTTGGGCACCTGAGAAAAACCCAGGCAGGGCCGCTGAGGGAGAAGTTGTCGGGTGCTCAGAAATTGACTTCTGCCAATGCAGAAGTGAGCTCAGGTGCAGCGGACATAGAGCATCTGCTACGCTAATGCATGAAGCTTCCTTGCAGAAACCCGGGTAAGCCTTGTTCTTAGGGCGACTGCTTTGAACACACTGCAAATTTGATGTTAGCTTTACTGGCGTTCTCATCTGAGAAATGTCTGCCCTGTCTGGAAGGGAATGGCATTGCATCCCAGGCAAATTACCGACCGTGATGAGTAGCAGTGTGGTCTTGTGGTGAAGAACACAGGCTCAGGGGCCTAACTGCCTGAGTGTGAATGCTGACTTTAACACTTACTACCTGTGTGATACTAAGCCAGTTACTGAATATCTCAGTCCCAGGTCCACATCTGTAAAGCAGAGAGAAATCAGAGTGTCTGTCTCTCAGAGCTGTTGGGAGGACCAACCGAGATCCTAAATATAAAGCTCTTAGCACTCTGACTGGCACACTGAAGCAAAGATGAGCTGTTATCCTGATGAGGTAGTAACGTCTGCTGCTACTTCTCAGCTGAAGGGAGGTACGGTTGAGAAACTGGTTTTATCGTTAAAAGCATATTACTAACAAGTCCCAAAAAGACAAATACTGCATGATTCCACTTATGTGAGGTACTTAGAGAAGTTACATTCATAGAAACAGAAAGTGGTTACCAGGGGGCTGGGAGGAGGGGAGAATAAAGAGTTATTGGTTAACGAGTATAGAGTCTCCACTTTGCAAGGGGAAAAAGTAGTGGAGATTGGTTTCACAACATTGTGAATATACTTAACACTACTAAACTCTATGTTTAAAAATAGACAAGAAGGTACATTTTATACAATTTTTTTACCACAATTAAAAGTTAAATATTTTAAATAACATTTTGTAGAGGGGCTGGGCGTGGTGACTCACACCTGTAATCCCAGTACTTTGAGTGGCTGAGGTGCACGGATCTCTTGAGCTCAGGAGTTTGAGATCAGTCTGGGCAACATGGAGAAACCTCGTCTCTACTAAAAATACAAAAATTAGCAGGTCATGGTGGTGCACGCCTGTAATCCCAGCTACTCAGGAGGCTGAGGTGGGAGGATCACTTGAGCCCAGGAGGCACAGGTTGCAGAGAGCTGAGATCTCTGCACTCTAGCCTGGGTGACAGAGCCAGACCCTGTCTCAAAAACAAAACAAAACAAAACAAAAAAGCCATATTGTTGATAAGCTTCATCAGCCATCATTTGGACTTTATATTTATCAAATGGAATCCACAGTCTATTGTAAGCACTGCTCTCATTTTGTGGTCAACTGCTTCAACATGGAATCTGGACGACATTTCAGATAATCCTGTGTGTAGAATCCACATCCCCCAAAATGCCATTAAAATGATTCATTTGGGGCACGCAATTGAAGACTCCAGCCAGTGAAAGAGCTTCACTGCCTGCCACAGAAAATCAAAGCAGTTGTTTTTAATATAAATGCTGCCTCTTAAACAGTAAGTTTCCAATAAAGTCAGGAGGATACAAGAAAAACAAAATTCAGGAGCTTCTGGATAACTGAACATGTGGAGGTTCCTGGAAGATGGCAAGTCCAGGGAAGGCATGGAGGCCCTGCGCCCCTTCCCACATACCTTACCCTATGCACCTCTTCATCTGCATCCTTTGTAATTCCTTTATAACAAACCAGTAAAAGTTAAACAAACAAACAAATAAACAAATATAATTCAGAGGGTTTGCAGATTGAGACAGGTAACTCTCCATTCGGTCAGCATTCACATTCAGGATAGATTCAATTTTCCGACTGCAAATTCAGGAATGTGGAAAGCCAACTCCTTACAAAGAAAGATTATTGTACAAAAGAAGATGTCAGGCCAGGCGCGGTGGCTCATGCCTATAATCCCAACACTTTGGGAGGCCAAGGCAGGTGGATCACTTGAGGCCAGGAGTTCAAGTCCAGCCTGGCCAACATGGTAAAAGCCCGTCTCTATTAAAAATACAAAAATTAGCCAGGCATGGTAGTGCATGCCTGTAATCCCAGCTACTCTGGAGGCCGAGGCACAAGAATCACTTGAACCCAGGAGGTGGAGGTTGCAGTGAGCCGAGATTACGCCACTGCACTCCAGCCTGAGTGACAGAGCGAGACTCTGTCCTCAGCCTCCCCCACAAAAAAGATGTCATATAAATTAAATCAGAATAACGTACAGAACTACCAAAGCAGCCCTGGCCAGTAAAGCCCCAGGAGTTGTATTCTAGCTGTAGGTCCCAGGATGAGAAGACCCGCAATCCTGTAGAACACTTAAGTGACTAAGAAGGAAGTAAATTGCAGGCATGACCCATTATTTACTAATATTCTCACTTTTAAAGAATTTTCTCTGAGGGATTTTTGCCATTAGCAAGATCACGATGATATCAGAGAAGTACAGAACAATCTCTCAAAAGTGTCTCTTGAGATGGTAATGCCTGGGCGTGGCCCCCATTTCTCAGGCCTGGTTCTTAGTTTCAAAATCCAATTTTTTTACTTCCCAGTTCTTTCAAATCTAAGGACCAGACCCTGAGAAATGACCTGCAATCCTCTAGACTGTCAGTAATATTGGACTGTAGGAGTGTAGGATTTTTCCTAGGTGATTATACATCTTTTCTGAAACTGACTTAGGTTAATCAAATTTATAAAAGACTGATGTATACGGTAGACTTACAAATTAATAATTCGTCTGGAATCCAGGCTCCAATTTTTCTTTTTTTTTTTTTGAGATGGAGTTTCACTCTCGTTGCCCAGGCTGGAGTGCAATGGTGCGATCTTGGCTCACTGCAACCTCCGCCTCCCAGATTCAAGAGATTCTCCTGCCTCAGCCTCCTGAGTAGCTGGGATTACAGGCATGCACCACCACGCCCGGCTAATTTTTTGTATTTTTAGTAGAGACGGGGTTTCTCCATGTTGGTCAGTGTGGTCTCGAACTCCCGATCTCAGGTGATCCACCCGCCTCAGCCTCCCAAAGTGCTGGGATTACAGGCGTGAGCCACCGTGCCCATCCCAGACCCCAGTTTCTTATACCCAAAGTCAAGATATTAATTGGAAGACTGCTTATGTAGATGGAATTAGAAATAAAGAGGGTGGGATAATCTTAAGACCCATATGAACCAGAAAAAAAAAATCACCCTTGTCTTCCAGCAGCCCATACCTCTGTAATGATTTTAATATATGGCTTCAGTTGGCAGTATTAGATTAACACTAATAAATTCTCAATCTGTACTATAATATCCCTTTTTAAAGCTCCAATCAGACCATCTTCTCTTAATACATTTTCCCAGATGGGATAAACTCATTAGACTCCAGCTTTCCTAGTTACAATCATATTCTTTCCCTGCTTTCTTTAGATAACAATGAGACGGACTTTTTGGGCTTGGATCTTGCCCAAACTCTCCCATGTATTTACTGGAAATCTCTTGGCTTCCTTCTGCTGATTCCATTTGGGTCAGCTGGTCTACTTTCACTTTTAGATGAGAACAATTCCTTAGGATGTCTCACTTAAGAGGGTCAGACTATTTACGACCATTCTTGAAGTTTGCAAAGGCTTTTGCAGTGCAGTAACAGCAAAGGAATTAGCATAGGTGTGCAACAGGACTGTTTTGGTGCCTATGGCATTTCTGATATCCAGCATAGCGCCTGAAGCATAGTAGGCATTCAGTAAGCCTGATGTGTATGTCGTGATTGCTGCTACCATAGAAAGTAGAGTTCACAGAAATCCCTGCTTCCCCTTGCTATTACTCTACAATGTGTTCCCCTGGATCATGGATTACAAGGCAAAGAGAAGCAGATAGCTTCTGTATAGTGCCTGGTATGCAGTAGGAGCTCGGGACATTTTCATTCAATAGACTTGGTTTACTCGTCATGGAGTCATCAGTGCCTCTGTTAAATAAGCAAGGAACCATCAGGAAATAACACGGCGGGTGATGTCAATCAAAGTCACTTAAATTCTAATTCTAACACTGTCACTTCACTAGGTATGAAAAGATAAGTCATTTATCCATTCAGAGTCTTCTCAATTTCTGCATTTGTAAAGTGGAGATGATAGTACCTAATTTTGCAAGGCAGTTGAGAAGAAAATGCATGGCAGGTGGTGACACCTGATAAGATATAGAAAATCAGTAAATACAAGTTCCCCATTGTAACTTTCTGTGGTTTTCCTCAACTGTTCTGTGGTCCTCAATCTTCCCAGCTGTCCTATCCACTTGTTGTTGGACCCCAATAAGCCAACTCAGTAGCTCTCAGCATTGGATCTCAGTTTGGCATGTTACTTCTAGTCTCGTTTCTCCTGCCTGGCCTTCACCCAGTCCTGACCTCTCTTACTCACCCACTGAATGTCAGATCTGGAAGAAAGTCTGAAGTCATAGAACCCTGACCCCTTAGGGACTGTGGGGTGTTTCCTCTTCCTCTGCCTGCTCCTCTCAGTACCTTGCTGGGTCTGGCTGAAGCAAATATCATGCTGCACCATAGCCACATATCAGCACTACGAGTGCTGAGCTTAGAGCCTGTAGATCCAATTCTTCCCCCACTAACTTCTAGCACAGCTCAAGGGATTGAAAAAGATCCTGTAGTTTCAGGGTTTTCCGAATATCCAAGGATCTAGTTTTAGATCTGGAACTCTAAGAATTTCTATGTTATTTTATAGATACCCGAGATGAAGAGAAAAAAATATGAATTTGAAGCATTCAGCATCACCATTTCAGGCTGTCACACCAATGTTATTAGGATTAATTCCTCTAAAGAAAGGAAGAGGTGGCCAGGTGTGATGGCTCACGCCTGTAATCCCAGCATTTTGGGAAGCTGAGGCGGGTGGATCACCTGAGGTCAGGAGTTCAAGGCCAGCCTGGCCAATATGGTGAAACCCCATCTCTGTTGAAAATACTAAAAATTTAGTTGGGCGTGGTGGCAGGTGCCTGTAATTCCAGCTACTCGGGAGGCTGAGGCAGGAGAGTCGCTTGAACCTGGGGGATGGAGGTTGCAGTGAGTCGAGATCAAGCCACTGCACTCCAGCCTGAGCAACAAAGTGGGACTCTGTCTCAAAAAAAAAAAAAAAAAAAAAGGAGAGGATTGAAAGATCGAAGCAGGAATTCCTGGCCTTGCTGGGCTACCACATACATTTAATTCTTTCCTTCCATAAAAGTATGCCTCGAACAGTCCCAACCTCCTCTCCAGAGTCCAGACAAATGGGAACCCAGTGTGCTGGATCCAGACTGGGATTCAGAGTTCAGGAAATATCATCCTGGCCCTGGGGTCAGGAAAGTGGGGAGAGGATGGTTTCAGGTGAGGGGATAGTCTGCTCCTTGTGTGGAAAGTGGTGAGTCATGGATGACCCAACGAGGAGCAGGACCCAACGAGTAGGCCTCCCAGCCTACATCTTTCTCTGGTGCTAGATACTTCCTGCCCTCAAACATCAGACTCCAAGTTCTTCAGTTTTGAGACTCGGACTGGCTCTCCTTGCTCCTCAGGCTTGCAGATAGCCTATTACGGGACCTAGTTATTGTGTGAGTTAATACTTAATAAACTCCCATATATATATATGATATATATATATGATATCATATATATGATATCACTTCCTGTGTTTTGAATCTCTGGCTTCTTCTGAGAGGACACTGGAGAACACTCTTTTTTAAAGGACTTATGTGACTAGGTCAATGCCACTTGGACAATTTCCCTTCTTAAAGGCAAATGTGTCACATATCCTAACCTAATCACAGGATATCATATATCATATATATATCATATATATATATCCTATTAGTTCTGTCCCTCTAGAGAACCCTAATACAGAACAACACCATTTCTAATACTAATACGAAACAACACCCATTTATTAGCTCACAGCTCTTCAGGTGGAAAGTATAGCACAACATAATGAGATTCTCTACTCAGGGCCTCCCAAGGCCGAAATCGAGATGTCAGGCACATTGTCTTCTCATCTGTAGGCTTTGGGTAAAAATCCCCTTCCAAGCTTGTTCTTGTTGTTGACAGAATTCAATTCCTTGTAGTTGTTGGACTGAGGTTCTCATTTCCTTGCTGTTGTCAGCTGGTGGTCACACACAGGCTGTCTTGAGATGTGACCCCCTCCATCTCTAAACCAGCAACAGCGTGTCCATGAATCCTTCCTGTGTTTTGAATCTCTGGCTTCTTCTGAGAGGACACTGGAGAACACTCTTTTTTAAAGGACTTATGTGACTAGGTCAATGCCACTTGGACAATTTCCCTTCTTAAAGGCAACTGCGTCACATATCCTAACCTAATCACAGGAGTAAATTCCATCACATTCACAGGATTACATAGGAGGTACATATGGAGGATGGAGGGAAAGGAAATTTGGGGGGCTATCTTAGACTTCTACCTATTAAAGCATCTCATATGATTTGTTGCATCAATAGGATACTTCCAGCTATTATTGACATATGAATCTGGGCTGCATTATGCAAAAATTCATATATAAATATGTATCAATGGTAATTCACTTTGCTATTTTGAATTTGTGTCTCACCACAAAACTTGAGCTGTCTCTGGACACATCAATTTCCTTTTGAGGGCTGATGGAGGATCCAGCCTAGGGCATTAGCCAGGCGAGCCAGGGTCAGGGACTGGGCCTCAAAGAGCTGGAAATAGAGCGGGGCATGCAGCTCAAGGCAGCCAGGAGCTCTGGGGGAAAGTCCTAACCAAGTTAGTAGTGAATACTGAAATCCAGCCAGAAACCAGAATCCAAGTACCAATTCTAAGAGGCCAGAAAAAGACCAAAATATGAGATGAAGGCAAAGGGCAGGAGCTTGGCAGCATGGAAATGGAATAGAGCAGTTAGAAGCCAAACACAGACAGGGACAAGGTGATTGTTTCAAATGCCACTGTCTGTCTAGGGGAGCCGAGGTAGAAAGAGATGTGGTCTCTGCCTCCTTGTGAAGGAAAAGGGCACCTACAGAACGGATCCCTGACCATATTGACAGAGGAGCATTTGATGTCCAAGGGACAAGGTCCACAGTAACATTTGCTTCTGACTGTTCTGGCCCCATGCAGGCAGTCAGCTCTTTTGCAGTCTGTCATGTGAGCATGTAGAATTCATAGACAGCACATTTCCACATGTTGTGACTGCCCTTTACCATGGCTGAGCTAGCCAAGCTCCTTTCTTCTCCTACACTAAATCCCATCTGCTCTGATCTACTCCTGCAGTTCTCTCCCTTCTCTCTCCTCCATCGTTTCCCCCTTCTTCTGGGTTATTTTGCGTTATTTCTGTTGCCTAACAAAAGCCTTCTCTTGACGTCCACTCACATCACTTGCCCCATTTGTTTGCTCCCTTTGGCAGCAAAACTCTTTGAGTTATTATTACTCTCTGTCTTTCATTCCTCCCCTAGTTCCCTCTTTAACCTGTCTGTTGTCATTTAAATGTGTCTCTCCACAAGCATGTGCAGGAAACTCAATCTCAATGCAACAGTACTGAGAGGTGAGGCCTAAAGGGAAGTGTGTAAGTCATGAGGGCTCCATCCTTATGAATGGCTTAATGCCAATCATAAAAGGGCTTGGGGCTGCAAGTTCAATCTCTCTCTCTCACCTGCTCTCACCCTCTTGCCTTCCACCATAGGATGATGCAGCAAGAAGGCCCTCACCAGATGCCAGTACATTGATACTGAACTTTCCAGCCTCCAAAACTGTGAGAAATAAATTCTTTAGAAATCCCCCAGTCTGTGGTATTCTGTTGTAACAACACAAAACAGACTAAGATACCATCCAAATAGGATTTCATCCCCAGCCCCCTCTTACTGAGGTCATCAGTGGCCTCTACATTGTGAAATACATTGGTTGGCTCTCAGGCTTCATTTGACTCTGCGAATCACTCCACGTTCTTACACGTTCCTCACCTGCTGTTCAGGACTCCACACTCATTACCCTGGGGAGGACACCAAGCCATTCATGAGGGATCCACCCCCATGACCCAAAACCTCCCACTAGGTCTGATCTCAAGATCACATTTCAACATGAGAGTCAGAGCGGACAGACATCCAAACTATATCACACTCCTTGATATTCACCCAAGTGAGTTGAAAACATGTCTACACAAAAACCTGCATAGGATGCTTCTAGCAGCTTTATACATAATTGTTAAAACTTGGAAGCAACTTAGATGTTCTTTGGTTCAGGATAAATGAACTGTGGTACAACCAGACAATGGAGTATTATTCACAGCTAAATAGAAATAAGGCATCAAGTCACTAAAAGACATGAAAGAAACTTAAATGCATATTACTAAGTGACAGAAGCTGTATTAGGGTTCTCCAGAGAGACAACAAACAGGAGATAGATCGATAATAGATTCGATGGATGAGATAGTTAGATAGGTAGATAGATAATAGATTAGATGAATGGAATAGATAGATTAGATAGATAGATAGGTAATAGATTAGATGAATGGAATAGATAGATTAGATAGATTAGATTGATTAGATACATAGATAGATAAATAGATTAGATGAATTAGAGATAGATAGATAGATTCGATGGATGGGATGGATGGGATGGATAGATGGATGAATATATAGATAATAGATTATATGAATGGGATAGACAGATAGACAGACAGACAGCTAGATAGATAATAGGGGATTTACTATGAAAATTGGCTTGCATAATTATGGTGACTGAGAAATCCCACAATAGGCCATTTATAAGCTGGAGAACCAGGGAAGCTGATAGCATGGCTCAGTCCAGGTCCAAAGGCCTCAGAACCAAGGAGTTTGATGGCATAACTCTGTTAGAGGCCAAAGGCCTGAAAACTGAAGGATTGCTGATGCAAGTCCTTAAGTCTAAAGACTATAGAACCTGGAATTCTGATGTCCAAGGGCAGGAGGAGGGTGCCCCAGCTCCAGGAGAGACAGAGAGAGAGAGAGAGAGAGAATTCACCTTCCCTCTGCCTGCTTGTCCTATCTGAGCACTGCCCACATTGGTGAGGGCAGATCTCCCTTAGTCTACTGACTCAAATGCCAACCTCTTCTGGAAACATCTTCACAGACATACCCAGAAATAATGCTTTATCAGCTATCTGAGTACCCCTTAATCCAGTTGAGTTGACGGCTAAAATTAACCATCACAGAAACCAATTGGAAATGGCTGCATACTGTATGATTCCAAATCCATGACATTCTGAAAAAGCAAAACTATGGCGACAGTAAAAATTTCTGTCATTACCAGAGGTTGGTGGGGGAGAGAAGGATGAATGGGTGGACCACATAGGATTCTTCTTAGGGCAGTGAAACTATTCTGTATGATACTACAATGCTAGATACATGTCATTAGACTCGTCAAAAAACACAGAATGTACAAAACCAGGAGGAAACTTTGATGAAAACTGTTGACTCTGGGTGATAATGATGTGTCATCACAGGCTCATTGATTGTAAAAAAAATGTACCACGCAGGTGGGGGATGCTGAAAATGGTGGGCACTGAGCATGTGTGGGGGCAGAGGGTCTACAGGAACTCTCTGTACCCTCTGCTTAATTTTGCTAAAAACTTAAAACTGCTCTAGAAAATAAAATTCATATTTAATAAATAAATGAATAAATATAGTATGTTTTTTAAAAAGTCTCCAGACATTGCCAAATGTCACCTGAGGCCAAACTTGCCCCGGGTTGAGAATCACCAATTAAATTTTAGGCAAGTTATATGAACAGTGGTTACAAATAGTGATGTGGTGATGAAGGAGACAGCAGGTGATGTGATCAAGAGTTAAAGAGAGTCACTTTATGCAGCATAGTAGCTAACCCTCATTTAAGGGAGGAAACATTTAAGCTGAGGCTTGAATTCTAGAAGGAGTTAGCCATAGGCATAGAGAGAAGACATCCAGGCAAAGGGAGGAAACTTGCAAGGCTTTGAGGCAGGATGGTGACTGGGACAGCTGAGGTGCTCCCTGTACAATAGTGACAAGTATGGCAGCAGGAGATCAGGCCAGAGAGGTGCCTTCTGAGTCACATCAGGCTGTGCCATTTCCAGTCGTGATAGGGGACTGCAAATTTAAACTGAGAGTGATGGCCAGCCCCAGAGGGTGTTAAGCAGAGAACGTCATAATCTTACTCACTTAAAAAAAATGAGGGATTTAACATTGAAACCTTGATGTGATGATCAATTTTATGTGTCTCCTTGGCTAGGCTATAGGGCCTAGCTTTTGGGGCAAACACTAATCTAGATCCTTCTATGAAAATTATTATTATTTTGAGATGGAGTTTCACTCTTGTCGCCCAGGCTGGAGTGCAGTAGTGCGATCTCAGCTCACTGCAATCTCCGCCTCCTGGGTTCAAGCGATTCTCCTGCCTCAGCCTCCCGAGTAGCTGGGATTACAGGTATGCTCCACCACACCCAGCTAATTTTTTTTTCTTGTACTTTTAGTGGAGATGGGGTTTCACCATGTTGGCCAGGCTGGTCTCAAACAACTGACCTCAGGTGATCGGCCCTCCTCTGCCTCCCAAAGTGCTGGGATTACAGGCATGAACCACTGCACCCGGCCTATGAAAATTATTTTGCAGAAGTGGTTCATATCTACAATCAGGTGACTCTGTGTAAGGGAGATTGCTCTCAGTAACGTGGGTGGGCCTTACCTAATTGGTTGAAGGCCTGAAGAGGAAAAATGAGGCTTCCTAGAGAGGAAGGAATTCTGCCTAAGACTCTAACATAGAAATTCTGTCTGAGCTTCCAACATTCGGGCCTACCCTGCATATTTTGAACCTGCCAGCCCTCCCAATTGTGTGAGGCAATTCCTGAAATTAAATCTCTTAGTGTATATCCTGTTGGTTCTATTTCTCTGGTGAGCCCTGACTGATGCACTTGGCTGCAAAGAAATTGTGGCCAATGATTAGATTTGATAAGTCCTTCAAGGACAAGGCCTGTGGCTTATTAAGCCGTGAAATTCCACCTCTTCTCTCAGCAGTTTGGATAGATGAAGCTGACATTGAGGTCTGGATTCTGGGAAGGCCTGGAGGGCTAACATTTGATGGCCAGAGAACTTGTGTAACCCAAATGCTCAGTTTGGAGACTTTATGAGACTTTGAGACTCAGCCCTGCATCCTGGGGCCATGTCTGTTCGTCATCCACTGCTCTGATATGGAGCGTTGTATATCACAGGGGATCAACAGGAAGCCAACTCCCAACCCTGCACCCGGTCCACAAAGGAGATCAGCAAATCTGCAGCACTGTGGACTCATTCAAAATCCGGTTTTTTCAATGGGTTGCTGGCCACAATTGTTTTTTCCACTGAGTCTGCATTTACCTTAGGCATGCAATCATTTATTCACCCTGTCAATCTTTCAACATAGTTCTGCAGTACCTGCTGTTTGTAAGGTTCTATTCTAGGTCCTCAGGATCCGATTGAACGGAAGTGAAGCCCTACCCTCATGAAGCTTTCATTCTAGTGGTGATGATAGGTAGAAAAGAGGCAAACCAAAAAAATAAACGAAATGATTGCAAGTTGTGGCACGCACTGTAAGGGAACCAAAAAAGAGGCTGAGAAGGGAGTGGTTACAGAGTGGTTAGAGAAGGTGTCTTCAATTCACAAGTTGAAATCTGGAAAACAGGGAGAGGTTTGACCACGTGGAGGGTGGAGGAAGCATTCCAGGCAGAGGGTGCAGGGTTAGAAAGGCTCCAAGGGAGGAAGCAGCTTCTCACTGTGAAGGATCTTGTGGAAATAAACGAAGACAAAGCAGATGAGAAAAGCAAAGGCTGTTTATTCCAAGCTTGCGGTAGCAGGGAGTCGGCTACCATCACTTGAGTTTTGGCAGAGGCTCAAAGGCAGTCAGAGGAGTGGGGAAGCTTTCATCGTGGAGAAAAGGGAAGGCTCCGAAAGTGTGCTGATTGGAAGCTGTTGGCGTGGGAAGCTGGAGGCGGCTCACTGGAAGTGGGGCATCAGGTGCATACTTGGCTTTCTCTGGTTGTTCTTCTGTTGGAAGTAGGGCCAAAAATTAGGGAAGCTGTCAGTTACTCATCAGTCAAGTCCTGGCCACTTTGGTCCTGTTATTGAGGTGTTCTTTTCTGTCTTCCTGGATCAGTTGCTAGAGACAGTGGTCTGGCTTCCTACAAGTCTAGCTTCTAGAGAGCAGGCTGGCTTCCTTGGTTGGTTCCTCTGGATAATGGGCTGGCTTCCTGGGCTGGTTGCTGCAGGTTGAGGGTCAGAATTCTGTTTTTATTTATGATCTAGCCATTGCCCATTTCTATAGTCAGACTCTCAAATCTGAACACACACCTCTGTGTTGGGGAGTCTGGAGTGCTGGGGAGAGGGGCACTTGATGAGGCTGGAGAGGAGGCAGGGGCCTGATCATACCAAACCTTACAAACCACAAGTCAGGGCTGGAGCTCCTTCTCATATAATGGGGAGCTACTGAAGGGTTTTGAATAGAGGAGGGACCTGATTGGATTTGCGTTTTAAAAGGAACACTTTTGTTGCTGGGTGCCTTATGGATTTGAGAGGCAGGCAGTGCAGAGAACAGTCAGGAGGCTGTTGCAAGAAACCAGACATAAGACAACGGTAGCTTAGACTAAGGTGATGGTATCTCAGCTGCATAGTAATCTGTGACCAGGAATCTTTTCTGAGCAGTTAATCATTTGGATATAATTTAGCTACCTGTCTCTCTCCTATAGGTGGTGATTGAGCTGCATGTTGACTTGTTATATTATTATTATGAATTAATAAGTTGGCATTGCAGTGCACACATAAATCTGTCAGGAGTTTATTCAGTATGAGCCAATTGCTAATCACCATGGGTGCGTTTACAAAATTATCCTTAGATCCAATCAGTGCAGCGCAGACACAGTGGCCACACTGTGTTCCTACCACACTGTTTGTGCAGCCATTTGGCTTCCCAAAAGGGCCCTATATCTATCCCTATATCATCATTAGTATCTTGAAATCACACAAATAATAGTTATTCCTACTAACCTTCTTCTTGCTAGGCATTTATATCCCTTCAGCATATTTCTGGGTCCGATTATTCTGGCTTGTTTACTCATTCATTCATTGAACACCTACTGCATGCCAGATACAAGGCTCAGCACTGGGAACATAATAGAAGACGAGACAGGCACGGTTCCTGCCTCCCTTCAGTCTATACGGGAAAGTGGGGGTTGGGGGAGGGGTCATTAAACAAGCATACACTCAAGTGAATATATAATTATACATGTCTGTAAGTGCTATAAAGGGAAAGATCAGGGATCAAAATGATGGAAATGGGGCTATTTTAGATTGTGTGATCAGGGAAGCAGTCACTGATAAATATTTAAATTGAGGCATGAATGATGAGAAGGAATCAATGCAGTAAAAATCTGGGGAAAGTGAGCATGAAGTCTCTGAGGAGGGAAGCGGACAGGGAAAGGAAGCAGCGCTGGCTTGGAAAGTAAGGAGAGCAACTGACGAAGAAGGTGGAGAATGAGAGTGTGTCTGGGCGAGAACTGCTGTCTTGAGGGTCAAGGCAGCACAATTCCCTTAAACAGAAATGGACAAGGCTATTTAAATTTTTAAAAGATCGCTGTGGTTGTTATGTGGATGGGCCGTGGGGAAAGAAGTGAAGGCTGAGAGAAGGTTGGGAGGTCATTGTGGTTGTCCTGGTGAGACGTGTCAGTGGTGGGACCAAGCATGGAAGGTAGAACTCAGTAGAATGACTGGAGAGATGTTTTGGAAGTTGAATTATTGGATAAGATGTGAGGGAGAGGGAAGGGAAATAGAAAATATGATCCCCAGTTTCTGGTTTGAGCAATGGGTGGATGGCTGGAGAATTCTGTTTCTAGACTTCCCCCCATGGGTTTTCTTATGGAATTCAAAGGCTTGCTTTTAAATGGTGCGATCATAGCTTCATCATCATCCACTGCTTCTCAAGTATTTCCTCTAGTTTTGTGTTGGTTCTGCAGTCTTACTCTCTAATTTTCATGTTACTTAATAGTTTATTTACACCTGGCTTTGTAGAACTGATATCTTGCTTCTTAATTTAGTCTAATATTTACTTCCATGTGTACAAGAAATGCATTCACATAATTAAATTTGTTTTGCTTTTACCATTCCAATTTAGTGAACTCTAGGAGTGTGGCTGTGTGAGTCCACAGAACACACCATGTGAACAGCTAGGCTATTAATGGGAGCTGTGTGGACCACTGGCCTCTTCCTCCCTATTTTGCCTTCCAACATAAAATTATATAGATATTCCTTCCATCAATTTACCTGACCTATATAGCTCAATGAACTGTGTTCATTCATATTTTCAAGCTTTACCAAAAGAACCTTTTCCTTAATTTAATCTTAGATTAAATCTAAGATTAGTTTAATCCTAGATTAAACCAAGGAATACATATTTTTGGTTGCATATTCTACTTTTAGCCCATTTTTCCCCCTTTTAAGGTTGATCTTAAAAGTTGAACCGAACAGCTATATTTACATAAAGCTGCTCTAAATCATACAGAAGCTTATTTTTTACTTTATATTTTTAGTTCCATATATCATAAATGAATATATTCCCCATGTAAAAATTCAAACCAAGAATTACATGAAACAAATCTAAATTAAAGTATGTAAATTCTCCTTTGTCTGTATCTATGTATGCATGCAAATATATGTATGTAATCATACTCTATCAACTGATATGCAACTTGTTTGTTACACACACAGCAAAATATATTGAAGATCTTTCCATATCTATACATGTAACACTATCTCATTCTTTTTTTAATAACTGAAACGTATTTCAATGCCTGGATGTTCTGTAGCTTTTTATTAACCATTCTCCTTTTAAGGAATATTAATGCTGTTTCCAGTAATTTGCTGTTACAAACAGTTCAAATGACCTTTCCTGTACGTGCTTCTTTTGTACACATTTGAGTATTTTGGTAGGTTCATAGAAATCAAGTTCTTTGGTCAAAAGTTATGTGCATCTCATCTACAGCAACAATCTGAGTTTTTGATTTCATGTTCATACAATCAACCCTGAGTAGGAATAATCTTCAAACACTTTTGCCAATTTGGTGAAAGCATCTCAGTAGTGTTTTAATTTGTATTTATTTCTTTATTAAGAGGTTGAGTATATACATTTCCCGTTGACTTTTTTTTGATAAATTGCCAGTTTATATTCTTTCCCCATTTTTCTGTCTTTTTATTTATAGAAACTTTTTATTTATTTTATATTCTAATCGATCTTTTATACACATTTAAATGCTGTCAGCCTGTTCCACATCTTCTAATTTGTTTATGGTATATTTTATCTGTAAACATTTAAAATTTTATGAAATTACATTTTTCAGTTTTTCTCCTTAGACCTTGCAGATTTTTTAATGCTAGGTAGAAAGCGCTTTCCCAACTCAGGATGATAAAAACTATCCTCTAGCTATTATTAAAAAGTCAGAAAACAACAATGCTGGAACGGCTGCAGAGAAAAGGGGACTCTTATACACTGTTGGTGAGAATGTAAATTAATTCAGCCACCATGAAAAGCAGTTTGGAGATTACTCAAAGAACTTGAAATGAAACTATCATTCTACCCAGCATTCCCATTACTGAGTATATATCCAAAAGAAAATAATTTGTTCTACCAAAAAGACATACACACTCATATGTTCGTTACAGCACTATTTATAATAGCAAAAACGTGGAATCAATGTAGATACCCATCAGTGGTGGACTGGATAAAGAAAATGTGGTAATAGACACTATGGAATACTATGCAGCCATGAAAAATGAATGACATAATGTCCTTTGCAGCAACATGGATGCAGCTGGAGGCCATTATCCTAAGCAAGCTAAGCCAGGAAAAGAAAACAAAATACTGCATGCTCTCACTTATAAATGGGAGCTAAACATTGAGTACTTGGGGACATAACGATGACAACAATAGACACTGGGGACCAATAGAGGAGGGAAGGTGGGGGAAAGGGTTGAAAAACTAACTGTTGGATACTATGCTCATTACCTGGGTGATGAAATCAGTTGAACTCCAAAGCTCAGCATCACACAATATACCCAGGTAAGAAATCTGTGCATGAACCCCCAGAATCTAAAATAAAAGTTAAAATTATTTAAAAAAAAAGTTCTTCCGTGTTTTATCTTAATACATTTTATAGATTAAAAAATGACTTAGCTCTTTATGATATTGGATATTTATTTTTGTACATGGAGTTGGTTAGAGATCAAATTCCTGTTTCCAAAACATGTGAGCATTTAAATATCTGTTGAGTAAATAAATGACCTTAATTTTTTCCCAAAGGATTCAAATTATGCCAATACCATTTATTGAATAGCAAACTGTTTCTTCACTAGATGAAATTATCATCAATATCCTCTACTAAATTATCATAGAGAGATAAGTCTGTTTCTGGCCCTTCATCATGTTCCATTGATGTCTGCTTGTGCTCCTATGTTACCATTTTAATAGCTATAGATTTCAAGTATGCTCTGATATTTCCTAGGGCCAGTTATTAAAATTCCTTTAGCTATTCTTAACATATTTTATCTTCCAAATGAACTTCAGAATCCATTTATGAAGGCCTATATAATTTGGTGAGGATTTTAAAGTTGGAATTACATCAAATTTATAGATAATTTGATGTATGTTTAATCTTAATTACTCTTGTCATAAGACCACCATTATAATTAGAGATGTTTGGTTCTCATTTCTGGAAAAATAAGAATGCTTGTCTTAATATTAGTGATTAAGAATTGCTTAAAATAACTGGAAGAGTGTGTGTGTGTGTGTGTGTGTGTGTGTGTGTGTGTGTGTGTGTGTGTCTTGTGCATCTTTAGATGTCTCTTAGTACAGTGCCTAGCAGAGGGAAGTCATTCTATCAGTACTTGTGAAATAAATGTTATTGATTAAAATCTGCAAATTATTACAACTCAATCCTTTTTGCGCTTTTAAAATTGAAATAATTTTAGGCTTAGAAAACAGTTGCAAAAATATTCCAGAGAATTCCTGTCTATCTTCACCTACCTTCCACTTACATAGACATCCTATATAACCACAACACAATTATGGAAAGGAGGAAATCAATATTGATGAGACACAATTAATTACTTCACAAACCTTCACATTTCACCAGTTTTTTCACTAGTGTCTGTTTGGATCCTGGACTATATGGTATTTAATTGTCATATCTCCTAATCTCCTTTCACCTGTGACAATTTCTCTCTCCTTGTGTTTTCATGGCCTTGATACTTTTGAAGAGTGCTCCTGGGTCATTTTGTAAACTGTCCCTTATTTTGCATTTGTGTGTTATTTTCTCAGCATTAGATTGAGATGATGCATTTCTGGTATGAATGCAGGAATGATACTGTGTCCTCAGTGTAACACACCAAGACATACACGATGCTGCTGTCTTATAACTGATGATGTTAACTTTCAATACTATATAAAGGTGGTGTTTGCTGTGTTTCTCCAGAGTAAAATTAGGATGTTCTCTTTTCAATTAATAAATATCTTGTGGGAAGATACTTTAATGCTATGCAAATATTCATCTCATTTTCTTTTCATGGTTTTGCCCAATAATTTTATCATTCTGGGGTTGTTCTTGTGTTTGCCTAATGGTCATTTTATGTGTCCCTCATTTCTTTTATGTCTGTGAAATGAAGTTCTATTGTAAGGAGGAGTATCTTTTTCTTCCCTATTGATTGATTGATATAAGTATAGACTTTTAGATATTTAGTTTATTTCATGGGTTATAATCTGATATTATCATTATTTATTTTGTCACTCAAATTGTTCCAGCTTTGGCCATTGGGAATTCTTACAAATTGGCTCCTCTGTTCTTCTGACATGGCTCTATCATTTTTCAAACATGTCTTTATTTTTTGGCACCACAAGATGTTCTGGGCTTATCTTATATCTTCCCTGCCAGAGCCCTAAATCAACAATTTCTCCAAGAAGTTGTTATTCTTTTTATCAGAGAATCATATTTAGAACCAATATCTTGGCTCTAGGTATGCTAATTGCTACCAGTTTGTCGTTTCTAGGTTTTTTCAGCAGACAGAGCTAGGAAATATGTTTGTATATTAATCTGTGCATAAGCACATACCTATATATCTTTGTCTATCCATATATATATATACTTACATACATATATTTACATATGTATACACATATATACATATGTATACACATATACACATATATACACGTATATTTACATATGTAAATATACGTATATATACACATACATACATATGTATACACATATACATCTATACACATATATACACATATATTTACATGTGTATATATGTATACACATACACACATACACATATATATATACATAAACCATGAATTCATACTAATACCTTTAGTTTTAATACCATACCACACAGTTCATTCTATTCTCCCCCCTTTCCTTATTTGTAACTTTTTTTCTCCAAAAGTGAAAAACCCAACTTTCATTGTCCACATTATATTTACATATTTGTTCAATCCCAGTATAAACTTAAGTAGTATTATGGACATTTTTATTTTAAAAAACCCTCGGATATTATTTGACATAATTCCTTTATTTTACAAGTGAGAAAATCCAGGCCCGCAGTGATTAAGCTGCCAGAAGAAAGAAACAAATTACTAGAAGAATTATAAATGTCAGGATTTTAAATTTTAATATTGTATATATTTTACAGGAGAGTTTAGAAAAGGCAGGAAGTGTAATGTCAGGTCACTGCTGAGAAGAGGCATTAATTTATTTTTTTCTCCACTGTTGCTATTTAACTGAAGCCATTCTAGTTAACACAGTAAGGCATTTGGTGAGCATGGCTTGTATGAATAAAATAACCAAAGGTCAGAAAAATTAGACACCCCACTCATGTGGTGTTAAAACAGCCTCTGGAAAATGGAAGAACCAGTGTTTCATCACCGTGTCTAATTTCCACAATTATAAATACAGCTTAATCCACAGAGGTCACTGAGGTTTTCAGATCTGGTTACAGGAAGTAGACGTAAAGTAGGGATTTTATTTCTTCTTTCTCTTGTAAGTATTATCAACATCTTGTCTTTCATGACTCTATTTCAGCCACAGTGATTGAAAGTTGTAAAGGTGAGTTGAACAGTATGCCTCCTAGAAAGCCATTCATTTTTCCAGCCTGAAAATGGACAGTTATATGTCACGCATTGAAAACCCGATCTTTAAACTGCTTCAGTGTCTCATCTCTCCTCTGCTATGGAGATTTGGGATCCTGTTTTAATGATGCCTTAGGATTCGGATTTCCTTTGAGGCTGGAGAAAAGAAGAGTTTATTCTCACTAAAAAGTGGGCTATGGAAAGAGGTGCTCATGAAGCATCTGGGAATTGAAACGTGAAATTTGTTTTCCCATAAAACAATGGCACACGTGATGATCAGGCTCTACTAACTGTTAATAACACAATGTATATATCTTGTGGGTTGAAATTTAAATTCCACATGTATTGTTATTGCTGTGGGAAATTGTTTCCAAACAATCAACTTGGAAATCAGCTCATAATTGGTGACACCCTGTTGAGTTCATGTATCTGTAGAATTTCAGCAATTCTATTTTACTATATTTATAATTTGTTATTCCTAATTTTTTTTTTTGAGATGGAATCTCACTCTGTCACCCAGGCTGGAGTGCAGTGGCATGAGCTCGGCTCCCTGCAACCTCCATCCCCTGGGTTCAAGCAATTCTCCTGGCCTCAGCCTCCTGAGTAGCTGGGATTACAGGCGCCAGCCACCATGCCTGGCTAAGTTTTTGTATTTTTCAGTAGAGATGGTGTTTCTGCCATGTTGGCCAGTCTGGTCTTGAACTCCAGACCTCAGGTGATCCACCCGCCTTGGCCTCCCAAAGTGCTGGGATTACAGGTGTGAGCCACTGCACCCAGCCAAATTCCTAAATCTTAATTCATGTTCTAGACACATTTTTTTTTCTTTTGTCTTGGCTAGAACAAGACCTAGGAAATGGTAAATTGGATCATTGCCTTGAGTTTTAGGAGCTCTGAAAGCTGGTAGAAGAGCCTAGCTATTTCCAAGGAAAGTTAAAAAGATTTCATGCATCTACAGTCATCTCACAGATAATCCTCATCTTCTTCAAATCAAATACTTCTCCCCAGTTTCAGACTTGCATAGTTACCCTTCCGAATTTTTTCTCCATCCTTTTGCATTTGATATATTTTTAACTTCACGTCATCTATAATGAAATATTTAAGTGGAGATGAGTATGTGGTATTATTGTAACCAAGACTACACTCTGGGGATATGAGTTAGTCATGAATTTTTATCCTGATTCAAGATATTTATAAACATCAAAATGTGGAAAATATGATCTTGCTTTGTGTGTCTTAAAGAACTAGAAATTATTTCTGAGTTGTTTGATTGAAAAGGAGATCTATAAAATTGCCACCTCACAAAACATTGAAGGGTTTGCTGCTTAATTACAAAATAAACCTTCTTACCACAGCATAAGTAGTACACTCTAAAAGGGGTCTTCATATTGCAGAAGACATTATAATAAATCTTTTTTAGAAAATATACTGATTTTTTATGGTTGTTACTTTACTGAATCCCTTTTCTTATTTGTCAACGACAAAAATAGTTCTCAGAGGATGTTTTCTTTCTTTCAGTCCAACAAAGTAAAAATGTTTATAACAATACAAGCGAGCTTGAGACAAAAACAAAAGCAAAAACAAAACAAAACAAAAACCCCAGATGCTGTTATTTTGAGGAATGCACCAAGGGGAATTGTGGAGGGTTGTGAAGAACTGATTTATACACATATGTTTGCAATAATAATTGAACTTAAAATTATACTCCAAATCGATTATATTTTATGTGTTTTCTCTTTTCAAATGTGTTAAGATGAGAAAGTTTCTCTTTAAATTTACAAGGATTTTGAATGCTTAAATTGTTCCCACGACTCACATTAACATCAAGTGGCCTCATGGTGAGAAAAGAATAGTTCCCAGAGTGTCTAAATGACATTCTGAAATGGGTCCTATCAATTTTACTATGTCACTACTCTTCTCATTTTTGATCCATTTCACATTTGAAACAGGAAATGAAGTTATGGTAAAAACATTTGTAAAAACCAGTCTACCTGTTGATGATGAGTGTAGACCCTTCAAAAGCTAGAGCTGGCAGGGCACAAGTCATTGAAAATATTCCGGAGGACAACATGGATAATATTTCCAGTCTTCAAGGGAAAAAGATTTTGCCCTAGGAAAAAATTGAGATACTGGGATGAGAAGTCAGGTAACATTTTACTTTGTTACCAAAGAATCTTATTTAGAGAATTTCTTAGAAAGTTTCTCTCTGAAATAGACCTAAGTGACTGACCCCTCCACAATTTATATCAAAAAGGACTTGCTAAGATTCTAAGCTATTTCAAGTAAAATGTAACTCATTATCATAATTTTTCTGTATTTTTCAACAGTGCTATCTACAAATATGATTAAACATGCAGGGCTAAAATAATCTACGAGTAGTCAGTCTTGATATATGTCCCCCCAACTCAAATTCATAGGTTGAAGCCCTAGACCCCAGTGTGACTGTATTTGGAGATAGGGCTTTTAGGAGGTAATGAAGGTTAAATGTGGTTATAAGGGTGGGGCCCTAGTCTGATAGGATTGGTAGCCTTTTAAGAAGAGGAATAGAAAGACTTATTTCTCTGTCTCTGCCATGTGAGAACTCAGTAAGAAGATGGCCACTTGCAAGCCAGGAAGAGAGCCCTCACCAGAAACTGAATCAGCCAGAACCTTGATCTTATACTTTCAGCCTCCAGAATAGTGAGAAATAAGTTTCTCTTAAGCCACACAGTCTACGGTATTTTGGTGTGACTACTTGAGCAGATGAATACAACTTCTTTAGCAATATTTCCAATAAGCAGCCAGAACTTGTGATTTAAAATATTTCTGACCCAGCTTCTACATGTCCATACACAATTCACAGTTCATAGTGTAAGGACCAAACTGTGATGCAGGCTGAGTTGGCTTTTGGAACCATGAAGCTCCAAGCTTTCTGACTTTTGCTTTTGTAGTGTCTCCCCTCAGCTTGATTTCAAGCTACATTTTACTTGAAATATCAAATAAGGGTCTGTTACCAACAAGTTTCCACTAGAGTACAAGTAGGCTCTCAGCATTGTTCTGGCTTTAAGTCTCTTAAATTCAAATTTTTAATGAAAGGCTAACAAAATGGTGGTTGTAATTGTTTTTGGTTGTTGTTGTTTTTACAAAGGTGGATTGTTTTATCATTTGTTATCATGGAAATCATACCACTTTTACAGGAAGGACTTAAAGGCTAATTTTAGAGTGATGTGGAGACTGAGGTATCAGAAGATAGAGGGCTTATTTCCATGTGCAGCTCTGCTCTGCTCTTTCTGGAAGAATAATCTTTGGGCTGGTCCAGCTGGATTTATTATAAGCCTATTAACAGGAATGACGAGAGTGTTGAGGTATTGCTCAATGTTTTGTCTTTATTTTTGAGTTCCAGCCTCAGGATTAAGAGACTGCTTTACCTTGTAGAAGTGTTTCCGCAATGACAGATTTTTTTTCTCCTTTTCTTTCCCCAAGCACAAGACCAGCTGCCTTCTTTTATACTCTTTTCTTCTTCTGTCTCCTAAGGCTCAGATTCCAGCAATTAAAAATCCATTATTAACTGTCTCCTCTCTCTTTACAGCATAGAGTTATTGCTATCGATGTCTAAGGCAATTTTTCAGTGATTGGATCATCCATTGCTTCAGGCCCATTGATATCCAGTGTCTTGGTCTGTTTGGGCTGCTATAAGAAAATACTTTATTTGGGCTGGACAATTTATAAACAACAGAAATGTAGTCCTCACAGTTCTGGAGGCTGAGAAGTTCAAGATCAAGGTGCCGGCAGATTCAGTGTCTGGCGAGGGCCCAGTCCTCATAGATGGTGCCCTCTATGTGTGCTCACATGGTGGAAGAGACAAATAGGTTCTCTCAGGCCTCTTTTACACGGGCATTGATGCCATGAATGAGGGCAGAGCCCTCATGACCTAATCACTCCCCACAAAGACCCCACCTCTTAATGCTATCACCTTAGGAGTTGGATTTCAGCACAGCAATTTTGCAGGGACACCAACATTCAGGCCATGGCATCCAGCACACAAGAGAACAGCCTTCCTGGATGGTACTGAACAATGATGTTCTTGTGAGCGAAGATTAAGCCTTGTACGTGTCTCTAGATCCAGTTCTGTGGTCCACGGCTTGTGGGAAATATTTGTTACTGACTGGTTGAGTAACTGATGCATGAATAAAAGTAAATGGGTGGGAAACAGCTAGGTGCTGCCTAACAGCCTCAGGAGTGAGGTGGAAATTGGATAGAAGAAAATAAGCTCAGTAAATATGAAGAACCATAAGAACCAACATTCCTGGAACATAGGGCATTGTGTGTAAACAGGAGCTCCCAGAATTCTCTATAGAGTTATGTAGGACTCCAAGTTATTTTTCAGGGAATGCGGCTATGTATAGATGTGTGCACATACCTATGTATGGATTACACTGTGCAGAACATAAGAGATATGAGTTACAAAAACAACCCTAACAATGAGAAGCGATAAGCTACAAAATGTGTTTTGAATATGTAACAGTTACATTGATTGTAGCCACTCAAGTCTCTAGTAATTATGAAGCATAATATCATCTGTGTAAAGCAGTAATTTTATTGTGAATGATAGAATACTAAATTACATTCAGCAATATGTGGTTTTCATTGTGTATTATGCAGGTAGCAGGCTTTGGCGGCATAAATTCAAAAATCTGTATGGATATGACCACTGATAAGTCTCACATGCCACAGTGCCTGACACATAGTAGGTCTTACTAAATATTTATTGTTGAATGAAGCTGTAGGCAATTATACAGAAATCTTCAACTACGGAATTTTAGTAGCATTGAACCACTTGTGTTCTCTCTTACATCTCTGACAAAATCACTTGGAAAACATTTGCATTAGGATAGGTACATTTTTCAATAAGATTTTTATTTTTGTGCAATTTTGTCTCTTTGCCTATGACAATTCTATATACCTATCTGCATATATACAGTTTTTTAAAAGGACAAAGCCTGATGGCCAGCCTGAGACAGCAATTTGATTATTATCAATAGTGATCCAAAGGAGTTGGAGATCTAAAAATATGTAACTGTGTGTTTTTGCAGTGAGAGAAAATTTGATAGCCATTTCAATTTATTTTTTTCCAGCTTGATTAAAGTATACTTGAAAAATAAAAATTGTGTATATTTAAGATGTACAACATGATGTTTTGGTATACATATACATTGTGAAATGATTACGACAATCAAACTAATGAACATATTCATCATCTCACATAGCTATGTTTTTGTGTGTGTGTGTTGAGAACACTAAAGATGAACTCTCTTAGGACATTTCAGATATACAATACATTATTATTAACTATAGTCACCATGCTGTGCACTATTAGATTTCCCAGTACTTACTTATTGTGCATAACAAAATCTTAACACCCTTTGACCAACATCGCCACATTTGTCCCAACCCCCAGTTCTTGGCAACCAACATTTTACTCTGCTTTTATGAATTTGACTTCCTTTAGATTCCATATATAACTGAAACCGTGCAGTATTTGTCTTTCTGTGTCTAGCTTATTTCACTTAAAGTAATAATGTCCTTCATGTTCATCCATGTTGTTCCAAATGGCAGGATTTCTATCTTTTCTTTAAGGCTGAATAATACTGTATTATGTGTATATATACATATATGTATATAACAATTTATTTTTAATTTAAACCGGAGAACAAAAATAACTAATAGCCTACTAAGTGAAAGGTGCATACAAGGTAATTCTCGTGCTCAAATCCAAGTCTGGGTAAAAAAGCCATAAAAACAGTCATGTGTCACTTAACCAAAGGGAATATGTTCTAAGAAATATGCCATTGGGCAATTCTGTCATTGTGCAAACATCATAGAGTGTATTTACATAAGTCTAGATGGTACAAGCCTACTACACACCTAGGCTAGATGGTACAGCTTATTTCTCCTGGGCTACAAAGATGTTGTACAATATGTTGCTATACTGAATAGGCTAGGCAATTGTAATCAGTGTTAAGCATATGTGCATCAAAACATACTAAACATAGAAATAATGTGTTGTGTTATGACATTATAATGGCTATGATGTCACTGGGTGATAGGAATTTCTTAGCTCCATTATAATCTTATGAGACAATAGTCATATATGTGGTCTGTCATTGATCAAAGCATTGTTATGCAGCACATGAGTATATATGGAAAATGATTGCTAAACGCAAAAGGCAAGGGGTTCAGATTAGAGAGCTGGACCTAGACCACATCTGAATCAAAGCAGTGGAAGGCCAATACTAAGCTAGAAAAGTAGCATTGTAAACAACACAATTGGGTTGACAGGAACAGAGAACAGAGATGAGAACTCTAAAGGCACAGCATCAAGTCACAGAATTTAGTACCTCCTTTCTCCTAGTGGATGACCTCCCTCACTGCACTCCACATAGAGAACAGCTTTCACGCAGGAGGTCCTGCAACTTCCCACCCATTCAAACCATTCTGAGTTCCAAATAAAATGATTATAAGCAATCCATTCCTAGGTAATAGTAAATTTTTTTAATTTCACAGATAAAGAAAATAAATTATATAGGCATGAAAGCAGAAGAAAAAACCTAGGTAATGGTAACATACTATCTCAGAGTTCTCAATAGGATGTGAGTGTGTGTGTGTGTGTGTGTGTGTGTGTGTGTGTGTATAAAGAGATTTATTATAAGGAATTGAGTCAGTGGGCTGGAGAATCAGGAGAGCCAATGGTTTAAGTTCCAGTATGAACTGAAGGCTGGTAGGTGTGAGTCCCAGGAAGAGATGATACTTTAGTTCAAGTCCAAAGGCAGGAAAAAACCAATGTCTCAGTTTAGAGGCCACCACACAGGAGGAATTCTCTCCATTACTCAGGGAAATTTTGAGGGTTCCAATCAGGCCATCAAGTGATTGGATAAGGCTCATCCACAAAAGGAAGTGAACATTTTGCAACAAGTCAATTTAGTGATTTAAATGTTAAGTGCATCCAAAACTACCCTCACAGAAACACCCAGAATAAGAGTTGACCAAATAAATGGATACCCTGTGGCCTAGTCAAGTTGACACATAAAATTAACCATCACACATACAAAGGCTAGCCTCAGACTTTGTCTCCACTATTCTGTATATCAAACAACAATAGTTATACATTTGTGAAGGAAAAGATTGCAGTGTAAGAATTCTGTATCCTGCAAAGTGTTATTCACGTGTGATAGCAACAGAAGGGATATTGTATATGTGTAAAGGCTCAGAAAGTACCCCTGTACGCTTCCTAAAAAATTTACTGAAAGATATATGATAGCCAACTTAGACACAAGTAAAATCCAATAACTCAGCAGTTTGAAATACAGGGTAAACAAGCACTGTGAATAATTATTACAGATAAATGGTTAATAATCTTAGTGGTCTTGAGAAAGACTTTGAACAGCAAAAAAAAAAAAAAAAAAGGCACTAAATCCTCAAAATATGACCAAATAAACATTGCTCAGAAAGACCTAAAATGCTATTAAATATTATATATAATAAAATTAGAATTAAAAATTGTTACATGTCAAATAGGAAAATTTAAAATATGAATAAGATCTGAATGTTGTGAAACAATACCTCTCATTCCACTCATGAGTATTTTTTTGAAAAGCCATTTTACAAAATGAATTAAAAGTCATAAAACATGTTCAAATCTTTTTACTCAACATTTCCATTTTGGCAATTTATCTCAAGGAATTCATGAGAAGCATGCACAAAGATGTTAATGTGAAGATGAAAAATTAGAACGAAACCAACTAGCCGATAATACAGGAATGGTTATTTAAAACGGCCCATTCATATAAGATGTTATGCAGCCCTTACAAGCCATATTTTGAAGACTAATTAATGATCTCATACAACACTTGCTCTACAGTATATGAAAAAGGCAAAATATATACTTACAACCAGTAGGTCTCAATTTTGTTAAACGTATTTAATGAGAGACAGTTTAAAGACTAGAGGGCTAAATACCAATATGTTGCCAGTCCTTAGTTATAGGAAATAGAATTGAAATTATTTAATTTTTCTTCCTTGCATTTGTATATACTCCTCAACATTTTTTCACTGGACTTTGATTTAAAAATTCTTTTATTTAAAAAATCAAATTTTATTTAACAAAGATTATCTCTTAAAATGTCCATTAAAAACTTAGTTTATTAAAAAATCTAACAAGCTTTTCTAATAAAAGCAAATAATTTGTCTCACTGATAAACCTATAAAGAAATAGAATATTTACACTGCTACTGAGGCAAGA
The DNA here is from genome assembly GCF_000001405.40 of Homo sapiens. Taxonomy (NCBI): domain Eukaryota; kingdom Metazoa; phylum Chordata; class Mammalia; order Primates; family Hominidae; genus Homo; species Homo sapiens. Next base: position 11,945,366 of record NC_000006.12, on the reverse strand, counting down.
CAGAAAGGTGTAAATAAGCAAAATTTTTGTGGAATTAAATTTAGATATTAGTAAAACATAGTCTCAAAAGAATTTACTCATTCTGACATAGCAATTCAATTTATGAACTCTTTCTTTCTTTGTTTCTTCTTTTTTTGAGACAGGGTCTCACTCTGTCATTTAGGCTGGAGTGCAGTCGTGCAATCATAGCTCACTGTAGCCTCAAACTCCCCCTGGGCTCAGGTGATTCTCCCACCTCAGCCTCCTGAGTAGCCGGGACTACAGGCGTACTCCACCACATCTGGCTAATTTTGCTCTTTTTATTTTTTTGTAGAGATCAGGTTTGCCACGTTGCCCAGGCTGGTCTCTAACTTCTGGGCTCAAGTGATCCTCCCACCTTAGCCTCCCAAAGTGCTAGGATTACAGGCATGAGCCACCGCACCCAGCCTGAACTCTATCTTAAAGGCATAAAAATGCACTTTTAATTAAAAAGATTTTTATACATGGATGCTTATGCAAAGCATTTGGAACAACCCAATTGTTAGCAGTAAAGGAAAGGTTAAACAAAATTAATAGAGTCATTTGTTGTAATATTGGTCACTCATTAGAAATCATGTTGTCAGAAATTATTCAATGATGCTGGAAGATACAGTATAATAGTAAGTAAAAATGTAGAATATGAAAATTGAAGTAGGATAAAAAGTGTATAAATATGTAAATAATGGAAGAAAATACTCCAGAATATATTTAGTAATTCTCTCTGGATAGTGACAATATAAAAGGTTTTTACAAAATATTATACTATTTTTAAAACATATATATAAACATAAGAGCAATAATCCTTTTATTTTACTCTCAATGGCTTAAAACATTCTCCAGTTTCCTTAACATGTCACACAGGTCTATTTCCAATCTATGTTCTGAGTACCTCCAGTCTCATTCCCCATCACCACTGAATATTACCTAATACTCTTACCAAGCTGGATATTTACAGCTCTCTGAGAAGTTGGGTTCTTCTGTTGCATGACTTTGGGTTAAATAGCTTTGCTTCCAAGAATAACCTTCACCCTTTTTCAACCCATTCTGGTTAATGGTTAAATAAAAACATCAAACATTAGATTAAGTATCACCTTCTAGGGAGGCCTTCTGGATCTTTCCACGGAGGGGAGGTAATGTACCTTTACTCTCTGATCTAATATTACTATTTACATTCCTTTTATAGCACTTGTCACACTGTCTTAAGATTAGTTATTTGTCTGCTTCTTTCTCTCATATGTAAAAGGCTTGAAAAAGTAGCGTAAAGATTTTTGGTAGGGTACTGTGGATACTCAAATATAGGCACTCACTTAAATAGTTTTAATTAATGGATATCTGATTACACACACTTTAAATTCCTAAAAACATAATCACCCATCAAATCAATCACCAATGAAAATAATTAACAAGGATTCAATATTATATTAGAATTTTTATTTACAATGTAAATCATATTTACCAACCTATGACTTATGTATTAGTGTCACAGAGATATTTACATGTATAGGCTTATTGAATGAGATAGATTTTACAGAGTGCAAGGAAAAATAAACTTTTTTTTTTCACCACTGCTTCTGCAAACCTTGCTGTGTGGGTCCATGTCTTCCTGCACCTTGGTAAAGTATCAGCATGTCCTAGAACTATTGGCTTCTCTCTCAGATAATGAGTCCTTTGTCTCTTCCAGAGGGAAGAAAGTCCAGGACAATGTGATGTCAAAATGCCAAGATTTCAAACAATTTGAAACTTTTCCTCCTTCCTTAGTTCATATCTGATTACTCAACCCATTTTTAATTTCTCTTCTTTCCCCAGGTCAGGTCTAACTGACCAGATAGTTCATGAGCTTCCCCTACCTTTTAAAATTACCAATTTTCCAATTACCTCTCTTGCAATTGGGTTGGGGCTATGTGACTAGTTCTGGCAAATGGGCTAGATGCAGTTAAGAGTGATGTGAGTGGCACATGCTCTTTCTTCCTCTCATACAGCTCCATGTTGAGGTGGCAGCATCACAACATGGTGCAATACCCGTTATCCTGGATCCACCTGAATGAATCAGTGGAAACGAGTTCCCGTCTAATAAGCACTGGATATACAGCATGAACACATAATAAATCTTGGTTGTGTTAAGCTATTGAAATATGGGTGTTTATTTGTAACCATGGATACCTTATCCTTTTTTTTTTCTTTTGAGATGAACTTTTGCTCTTGTCCAGGCAGGAGTGCAGTGGCGCGATCTTGGCTCACTGCAAACTCTGCCTCCTGGGTTCAAGAGATTCTCCTACCCCAGCCTCCAGAGTAGCTGGGATTACAAGCACCCGCCACCATGCTCAGCTAATTTTTGCATTTTTAGTGGAGACGGGGTTTCACCATGTTGGCCAGGCTGGTCTTGAACTCCTGAGCTCAGGTGATCTGCCTGCCTCGGTCTCCCAAAGTGCTGAGATTAACAGGAGTGAGCCACTGCGCCTGGCCCCTTATTCTATCTTGACGAATTCAAATAGAATTGATGAATTAGTCTTCACTCTAATTGTAATTAGCTGGAATTTGACCTGTGATCCTTCCTTGTATTTATGTCTGCCTTCTTCCTCTTCTCCCTCACTCTTGTTGCTACATTGGGTTATCTTTTTCTCCTTCATGATTTTCCCTGTCTCATAACTCCAGTCACCAAGATCATCAAACTTCTTTTGATCCAATCCTACTCATTTAATGCTACCCCATCACTCTGTCATGTTGCTCAGCACCTCTTTTTGTGATGACTAGACTATTGTAATAAGCCCTCATCAATCCATTGCCTCTTTTATCTTGTATAGGGTGCCACACAGCTTTGATCGTATTATTTGCTCAGAAACCTCTTGTTCACCTGTGTAATATCTGAACTCTTCTTAGGCTGACATTCAAGGTCTTTCATATCAGTTTCAACCACTCAGCAATAATAACTCCTGTTTTCTCCTATATGTTCCTGCTATCTCTGATCCTCCCTACAAACGTGTCATTTCCTGCCTTTGCTCATATCAGATGCTCTCTAGCTAGACTATCCAAATACTGGCCACCTTCTGAGCACAGCTCAGGTGCCTCCTCCTCCAGGTAGGAGCCCTACTGGCCCTGGTGCTCTCTCCTTCCTCTGAACTACTCATACGTACTGTCTAAAGCACCTGTTTAATGCGCACCTGTGTGCTGCTTTTTCACATTTCAAGGTTCCAAAACCTGCCAAGAAAATCGTGGAGTATTTTTCCAAAAATTGTTATAGATGCCTGCATTCAGATTCTAAGAAATAATCATTTCATTAGTCCCATGCTTTAATAAGTCTTAAGAAATAAAATATGTAAATCAAATTTAATTTTCTCATCTAAAGCATCAATCGATGATTTAGAAAAGATAGAAGCCTGAACAATAATACTGAATTGTAAATGTGCATTACCAAGTCCTATGTGTTATTTTACTTATGAACTCAGTTTTTCTTTCCATTGCTCTTAGATACCTGAACAATTCAATCTTGTCATCAAGGTAATTGAACTGACCTCTCTGAACAAAGCCAAGGCACATGATCTCATTTAAAATTCACTTGCGTAACAGAGGAGTTGAAAACCGAAAACCGTATGTTCTCACCTGTAAGTGGGAGCTTAGCTGTGAGTACGCAAAGGCATACAGAGTGATGTAACGGACTTTAGACATTCAGAAGGGGGAGGCTGGAAGGGGGGCTAGGGATAAAAACTGCACATTAGATACAATGTACACTATTTGGGTTACTGGTGCATTAAAATCTCAGAATTTACCACTATGTAATTCATCCACGTAACAAAAAAACCCACACATACCCCAAAAGCTATTGAAATAAAAAAAAAAAATTCACTCGCATTGTTGTCCATTTACTAATTATGTTTATGTTTTTTAAAAAGCCAAGCATTATTGAATTGTGTACCCCAAAATGATTTGTTGTTCAACAAATAGGAGTACTGGGGTACTCCTAACCCACAGTACCTCAGAATATGACCTTACTTCAAAATAGGGTTGTTGCAGATATAATTAGTTAAGATGAATCATCCTGGAGAAAAAGGTGGACCCTTAATGCAACATGAGTGGTATCCTTGTAAAGAAGAAGGGAGAGACACAGGGAGAAGGCGGCCACGGAAACAGAGTTTGGGGTAATGACGCCGCAAGCCAAGGGTGGCTGGCAACAATCAGAAGTGAGGCTGGCGGCATGGAACACACGGCCTCCCTAAATTCCCAGAAGGAACCAACTATGCCAACACCTTGATTTTGAACTTACAGCCTCTAGAAGTATGAGAAAAATTAAATACATATATTTATATATGTGTATGTGTGTATTATATATTATATAATTTATATTATCAATATATTATATTATATATTAATATAATAAATATAATTTATTATATATATTTAATAAATACATTATAATTTATTATAAATATAATATATAATAATATAATAAATATATATTGTATACATATTTGTTGTTTTAAGCAATCCAATGGCATTTTGTTACAGCAGCCCTGGGAAACTAGAGCACTAAGTATTCAAGATTACTACTTTTTTTTTGAGACAGAGTTTCACGCTTGTTGCCCAGGCTGGAGTGCAGTGGCGCAATCTCGTCTCACTGCAACCTCTGCCTCCCGGGTTCAAGTGGTTCTCCTGCCTCAGCCTTCCCAGTAGCTGGGACTACAGGCACCTGCCACCACACCCGGCCAATTTTTTGTATTTTTAATAGAGACAGGGTTTCACCACGTTGGCCAGGCTGGTCCCAAACTCCTGGCCTCAATTGATCTGCCTGCCTTGGCCTCCCAAAGTGCTGGGATTACAAGCATGAGCCTACATGCCCGGCCAAGATTATTACATTTAACAGTGATGCTCTATCAGAGGGGGAAGTGAGCTGTGGCCTGTGCATCAAATTCTGCTTGTTACCCGTTTTCATAAATACAAAATTGAAGCATACCCATGATCATTACTTTATGAATTATCATGGCTGCTTGCATGCTGTAATGGCAGAGTGGAGTAGTTATGAGAGGGATTATCTGGCCTACACAACCTTAAAATATTGACTTTCTGGTCCTTTGTAGAAAAAGCCTTCCAGTTCTTGATACATGCTACTAAGCCTTTAATTAAAACGTTGAAATGTTTAAGAGTCTAACTAGATTTTTGGTTAGCTCTCAAAACTGAAACCCATTCTTCTCTGTATTAGAACAGGCTACGCTTGCTACAGTAAATAACAGCTCCTAAAGTTCAGGGTTTTTAAAAATACAGTAAAAGCTTATTTCTCACTCAGGTAATGTCCACTATGGGTCTGGGAAACACTGCCCAATGCAGTGATTTGCAATGCAGCTTGCTTCAATCTAAAGTCTCTATTATCTTATAGACTTCTGTCAACCTTGCAGATTTAAAGAACTAGAGAATTGCTCAAGGTTTTTCCATGCCTTGGCCTGGAAGTGACACACTTCATTTCCTTTCACATCCATTGGCCAGAAACAGTTATGTGACCCTGTCTAACTGCAAGGAGGCTGGAAGAAATAGGAGGATGAATAGGATATTCCCGAGTACTGTTATCACCACGCTACTAAATACCTTGACTGAGTATTATTATAAAATTAGCACTTCAATGACTTCTGGAATTTAAAATAGTGAATATTGTTGTAATAGTGAATATTGTTGAAGAGTCACAGGTAAGTACTCTTATTATCAGGTAATTTCTTGGGAATCTCTATTAGCCATTTGTAAACTTGTGAACTTTATAAATGGCGAGACTGAGATTTTGTGAAACGTCATAAATGATATATATTTTTTTCCTTTTGCTATTGTCAAAGAAATACCTAATGTGGCTTAAAAGGCATTACTCAAATTAAGAAATAAAAAAATCTGAATATGTACACCTGGCACTAGGCTGTAAGCACGTTTAAGCAGTATTACTAATCTCTGTCCCTCTTCATACACGTGAAAGGAACTGGCTCCAGAAGTCACACACTTTATTTGTATATGCAGAAACAGATATCCCATATTTAGGTTTTTTTTTTTTTTAGACCGAGTTTCACTGTTGCCCAGGCTGGAGTGCAGTGGTGCGATCTTGGCTCACTGCAACCTCCGCCTCCCGGGTTCAAGCAATTCTCCTGCCTCAGCCTCCTGAGTAGCTGGGATTACAGGTGTGTGTCACCACACCCGGCTAATTTTTGTATTTTTAGCAGAGAGGGGGTTTCACTATGATCCACCCACCTCGGCCTCCCAAGGTGCTGGGATTACAGGCGTGAGCCACTGCTCCCAGCCATATTTAGGGTTTTTTACATATAGAAGTATAGAGTTTTTTTTTTTTTTTTTTTTTTTTGCTGGACACAAGCAATTAAAGAAAATGAAATACCAAAAATAAATAAATAAATACATAAATAAATAAACCTTTGCAATCCCAGCAGTTGCTCCCTAGCTGGAAGAGAATGAAGGAATGAGACAAGGACTCAGGAGATTGTTGGGCCATCTACCCCCTGCCTTACAGAGGGAGTTGTCAAGAAAAGAGATCAGCAGGTGCTCCGGAGGGAAAGTGGCTTGGCCAAGGTTCACAGCCTGCGTTGTTCAGATACCATGACTGCTGGGCTTGCTCCCCCTATAGCGGTGGGGGAGGTTCAGATGTTGTCAGGATAAGGAAGTTCCTTATTTCCCTGTCTTCCTGCCACTGGACGCTCTCAAGCCCTTCATGCTCTGTCCCAGCTTGTGCCTCTGCTCCTTTGGCAACTGCTCCCTTCCACTGTTTGTGTGCCAGCCTGGCAGACCAGAAGGGACAGTTTGGTTCCTTCTGTAGCATTTCTCCAGCTCTCACCAGCATCCATCCTTTCACTGTGTAGCCCCAGGGAATGGATCGGGGACTCTGTGATCTTTGCTTTCCTTTAAAAAGTTTGTTTTTGCACGTCCACTGGAGCCGATCATTTTCTCCTATTCGCCTTGGTGACATCTTAGCCTTGAGGTTTATCTGAAATGTGATTGTTGCTGATTGATTGCTTCTAAACATGCTGGTGCAGCCATTTGAAAAATTAGTAGAGTCAGGGTTTTTCTTTTGTTTTGTTTTGAGAACAGTCAAACCAGTTTGTGCAAAAGTATAATTATATACTTCAATTTTCCTCATAAAAGCTCAAAAGCATGGTGTAATCACTTGTACCATTAAGCTATCTAAATGTGCTTATTCAGACCAAGTGTAAATAATGCCAAGAAAAGAATATGCTGGAAAAAGAAGAACTGCATCACACATAAGACTATCCTGCATGATGATTGTACATAAACAGGTATTAAATCTATGGAGAGACACTGTGAATTCATGCTTCTTACAGAAGACAAGCTTTTAAAATATAAAATCAAGTTGTGTAGTAAGAATGGCAATACAGATTCATTTGAGCCACTGAACTCAATACATTTTTAAATTGTATCCATTTACAGAGCAAAAAAATTAAGTGGATCTCAGCAGCAGATGAAATTAGTTATACTTACATGAATTTGACTAATCATATATGCATGGTTGCAAAAAATTGACTACTTCCCAACTCAAGTTTAACTGCTGTCAATGCTAGAATCTATAGGACCAAAATTATAACTTTATAATTTGTAAACTTTGTCCATGTACATAATCTCATTGATCTGCATTGATTTCTTATGAGGCAGGTATTATGATTCTCGTTTTGCTGGTTAAGAAACTGAGGCTTCACAAGGTTTGTGACCTCCCTAGGATCACCTGAACATTAAATGATCTTGGAGAAAAAAATCAAAAACCTCTACTGTCAGTTCTTAATTAGCAACCAAAGCTCTTTGTTCATTGAAATGTTTAGATATTTTCCTCATTTGAGAATTCATAAATGGTTCTAGGTGTATTTTCTCAAGTTACTGTACATCACTGTTGGAGGAAAATTTCTTATACACAATGCCCACATCTACTCTAGGGGTCAATCAACCATTCCAGGTATTTTGATCTTCTTCTTACGTATTTTTCATTGGTAGGAGTTTGGGGTAGGCTTTTGGTTTGCTTTAGGCACAGTTTATATGTAAAGTTTATAATCTCAAACAGGGAAGGAATTTAATCAGTTCTAAATTAAAAAGGCTAAGGAGGTTTCACTTTCAGAAAGATGAACTTTTATTTTTTCATAAGATTATTCGATGCTTTCCTTTTTACTACAAGTACCCAGTGTATGCAAAAAAAAAAAGTAATTTGTGGAATCAATATTTATTATCCCAAAAAATATGTAATTATAAATGGAAAAGGCCTCTAATGTAGTAAAATAATAATAAAAATCTATTAGTATGGGAGGCTGAGGCAGGCGGATCATGAGGTCAGGAGTTTGAGACCAGCCTGGACAACATGGTGAAACCCTGTCTCTACTAAAAATACAAAAATTAGCCAGGCGCGGTGGCGGGTGCCCATAATCCCAGCTAACTGGGAGGCTGAGGCAGGAGAATCACTTGAACCCAGGAGGCGGAGGTTGCATTGAGCCGAGACTGTGCCATTGCACTCTAGCCTGGGCGACAGAGTGAGACTCTGTCTCAAAAGTAGAGGAGAGTAGAGGAGAGTAGAGAGTAGAGGAGGGGAGGGGAGGGGAGGGTAGGGTAGGGTAGGGTAGGGTAGGGTAGGGTAGGGTAGGGTAGGGTAGGGTAGGGTAGAATAGGGTAGAATAGAATAGAATAGAATAGAATAGAATAGAATAGAATAAAATAAAAATATAGGACCTATCACTGTTTCCAATGTACCTTGGCAAATTTTCCTCCTACTCTGGCTATCAGGAAGCTCAGAGTCTAATTTATAGCCTAAATTTGCACTAACTACATCTTAATATCTTTCCCGATTTCTTCTGCAAGATTTTCCCAGATACTTTGAATTTGATACTGATGGGATAAACCTTTTAATTATAATTTGTCTCAATTCCATTAAGAAAGTTGGTGTAATTTGTTTAACGTTATTTCAACATTTATTAATCACCTACTATCTACGTGATCTTATGATACAGAGGTAAGCAGAACACCAGCTTCTGCCCTCAAGCCAATTATGAATTCCCATACAGACAACTAAAACTAAATAAATATGCGAACAAACAAATAGCTCATGCATAGATACAAGCATGGGTCTAGACTACCACATGAATCAAATATACCTTTTAGTTGTTAACGAAATCAACAGACCTTCCATCTCATAGCATGGTAGGTACATTTTATATATATATATACCTGTTGAATAAATTAGTTCATTCATGCCTGGATGAAAAAAACTATAAAATATAAACATGAATATATAATGAAATAAATAAAATTTCAGAGAAAACAATGTTATAGGTTAAAAATCCAGGAAAAAATAGAACTAATTCTAGAGTGATCTCGAGAGTTTTTTGTTTTCATTTTTCTTTTGAGACAGAGTCTCACTCTGTCACCCAGGCTAGAGTGTGGTGGTTTGATCTCGGCTCACTGCAACCTTCACCTCCCAGGTTCAAACCATTCTCATGCCTCAGTCTCCCAAGTAACTGGGATTAAAGGCACCCACCACCACGCCTGGCTAATTTTTGTATTTTTAGTAGAGAGGGAATTTCACCATGTTGGCCAGGCTGGTCTCGAGCTCCTGACCTCAGGTGATCTGCCCACCTCGGCCTCCCAGAGTGCTGGGATTACAGCTGTGAGCCACCGTGCCCAGCCGAGAACATGGAGTTTTTAGGTCCTCCCTGTCCCAGCATGTCAACAGGCAGCAGGGTCATGGAGTGCAGTCTGCCTCTTGGTGCCTCACGGTCCCATGTTACCCTCTCCATGGTCCCGTGTTACCCTCTCCATGGTCCCGTGTTACCCTCTCCATGGTCCCGTGTTACCCTTCACCACATTAGATACAGGTTGAGATCTCCGTTATACCAAGGACCTCACCTACCTTGAGCATGTCATCCAGAGAGACCTCTCTGAATCATCTTAAATACTTCATTGACATGTCATGTTCAACTACGCTACCATACAGGGCATTCCTTCATCTGCTGAGTACCTATCATGTGAAAGTTCCTTTGAGGTGGGGGATAAAAAGAATAGAAAGGGACTAAAAAATAATTCATCAAAAGTGAAGTACTGATGGTTCTAACCAGCTGGATCACTGATATTATATACTTTTATGAAACTAGGGATGTCGTAACAGATACATAAAGTACTCTAAAAACTGATTTGGGGAGAAAAAATGTTTATGGAAGATGTCTCATAATGCTTTAGGAGTATCTACTGCTGAAATCACTGAAAAGGTCATGTATTAAATAGATCTGATGTAGTCAAAAGCATCTCATATCTTCCAACAAAATGAACAATGGATCCTTCTTAGCAACAAACCACTGAGAAAAGAATTGTGCTTCTCATTAGGCATTCTGTAATTCCGCAGTCTATCTTCTGAAAGGCCTGTACAAGGTAAATCTTTCTTTCCTTTTTCTATCTTATATTGAACGTGGGGAAGGTTAAGGCAAAGAGCAAGAGCTTTCTTTGTGAAGGCACTACAGATAGGGCTAAATTGAGTTCCTCCTACCTCCGCTTGTTATCAAAGCTGCCCATAGTACAAAAAGTACTCTTTGCCACACAGATTTGTACTTGTAAATATGTTGCAAAACCTCGGTGAGACTTGCTAGGGCAGACCAATCTCGTTTGTGCAATAACAATCATAAGTGAAGGTTTAAAAGTATTCTCGCATCCAAAAATTATCCCATAAACTGGATTCTACCTTACTTACATTTTCCCAAATTCGCTAGGCCTTTCCTGAAATTCAATATTTTTAGCTTAAAAATGAATATGTGAACGGTCTACATGTTCACAGGATGCTCAGGAACAGAAGGAACCAATGAAAGAGCCACCAGGTTAAAGCCTTCTTTGAAAACAATTTGCAATTAAAGGGCAATTGAAAAATTGGTGAAGGGTTTGCATATAGAACCTGCTTGTTTTAAACTATTGTGTCCGGAATTGGTCGGTTCTCGGTCTCACTGACCTCAAGAATGAAGCCGCGGACCCTCGCCGTGAGTGTTACAGCTCTTGAGGTGGCGCGTCTGGAGTCTGTTCCTTCTGATATTCAGATGTGTTCCGAGTTTCTTCCTTCTGGTGGGTTCGTGGTCTCGCTGGCTCAGAAGTGAAGATGCAGACCTTGGCGGTGTTATAGCTCTTAAGACAGTGCGTCCGGAGTTGTTTGTTCCTCCCGGTGAGCTCAGTGGTCTCGCTGGCTTCAAGAGTGAAGCTGCAGACCTTTGTAGTGAGTGTTACAGCTCATAAAAGTAGCGTGGACTCAAAGACTGAGCAGTAGCAACACTTATTGTAAAAAGCAAAAAAAACGAAGCTTGACCTCAGCGGGTTGCCACTGCTGGCTGGGGCAGCCTGCTTTTATTCTCTTATCTGGCACCACCCACATCCTGCTGATTGGTAGAGCCGAGTGGTCTGTTTTGACAGGGTGCTGATTGGTGCATTTACAATCCCTGAGCTAGACACAAAGATTCTCCACGTGGCCACTAGATTAACTAGATACAGAGTGTGGACACAAAGGTTCTCCAAGGCCCCACCAGAGTAGCTAGATACAGAGTGTCGATTGGTGCATTCACAAACCCTGAGCTAGACACAGGGTGCTGATTGGTGTGTTTACAAACCTTGAGCTAGATACAGACTGCCTATTGGTGTATTTACAATCCCTGAGCTAGGCATAAAGGTTCTCCAAGGTCCCACCAGAGTAGCTAGATACAGTGTCCATTGGTGCATTCACAAACCCTGAGCTAGACACAGGGTGCTGATTGGTGTATTTACAATCCCTGAGCTACCCATAAAGGTTCTCCACGTCCCCACCAGACTCAGGAGCCCAGCTGGCTTCACCAGTGGATCCCGCACCGGGGCTGCAGGTGGAGCTGCCTGCCAGTCCCACGCTGTGCGCCCGCACTCCTCAGCCCTTGGGTGGTCAAGAGGACTGGGCGTCCTGGAGGAGGGGGCAGCGCTCATCGGGGAGGCTCGGGCCGCACAAGAGCCCACGGAGGGGGTGGGAGGCTCAGGCATGGCGGACTGCAGGTCCCGAGCCCCGCCCCGTGGGGAGGCAGCTAAGGCCCGGCGAGAAATCGAGCGCAGTGCCGGTGGGCTGACACTGCTGGGGGACCCAGTACACCCTCTGCAGCCGCTGGCCCAGGTGCTAAGCCCCTCAATGCCCGGGGCCGGCAGGGCTGGCCGGCTGCTCCGAGTGTGGGGCCCGCCAAGACCACGCCCACCCGGAACTCCAGCTGGCCCGCAAGCGCGGCGCGCAGCCCGGGTTCCCGCTCGTGCCTCTCTCGCTCGCGCCTCTCTGGCTCGCTCCTCTCCGGGTTCCCGCTCGCGCCTCTCGGTACACACCTCCCTGCAAGCTGAGGGAGCCAGCCGGCTCCGGCCTTGGCCAGCCCAGAAAGGGGCTCCCACAGTGCAGCGGTGGGCTGAAGGGCTCCTCAAGTGCCGCCAAAGTGGGAGCCCAGGCAGAGGAGGCGCCGAGAGCGAGCAAGGGCTGTGAGGACTACCAGCACGCTGTCACCTCTCACCATTTTGCATTAAAGCATCATTGACTAATCCATGGCACCAACAGCAAAGAAAGTGAGTAAAGCATACATACTCTTAGGCTATTTCTGGATGAGGTTTTTTGTTTGTTTGTTTGTTTTATAAGATACCCCACAATAGGTAATGGCAGAATGGCCAGGCCTAGAGCCTAGAACCTTCTCCCTCTGGCTCCCTGCTTCCTGTACCACCTGGCCAGGAGAACATGCAGACACAGAATTTCTTCCTCCAAACATACTTTGTAGGTGAAAATGTGGTTGACTTTGGATCTTCTAACTTTTTCCATGACCACTTTCATGCTTATTTATGTAATCATTCTAGATCATATTTATAGGATCACTCTTTCTGGTTTTAAAATTTTCTCTGTAGCCGGGAGGTGGGGATGGTTAATGGGCACATATGAAAAAAAAAAAAAAAAAAGAACAAATAAAACCTACTATTTGATAGTACAATAGGATGACTAGAGTCAATAATAATTGTTTATTAAAGAATGTAATTGGATCTGCTTATTTCACATTGCATGGTTGTATCAAAGCATCTCATGTACCCCATAAATATATATACCTACTATGTACCCACAAAATTTAAAAAAAAATTTAAAAAAATCTATTTTTTTCTCTGCTTATGTTTCCGGGGAGTCTTCATCAGAGCTGGCCTTTTGGACTGAATTCAGAGTCTAAATTGAGTCTTCACTAAATCAAGGCTTGGAGCTGGCTCTAAACAAAACTGGGGGTGTGAAATGTTCAAAGTTTAGCCCTCCTGGGCCCTCATGTCTGGAACCTCCTTCTTAACCTGGTATTTCTTCCGTTTTGGTCTCCCTTTTCTTCCTCTTACCTTCTATTAGTCACTATTCCCAATGAAAAGACTCTCCAAGGCCCTGGAGCACCTGGCCCACCTCTCCTTGCACCGGCTCCTGTATGCTTGGGCCCCCTCCGAGGCCTGACTTCACTGGTAGGTGCTGGGGGCTGCCCCGGTCTCGAGCTTCCTTTGATCTCCAGGCACAGACTGTGCCTTCTGGGGACAGTGTGCATCACGCGTCATGGAGGGAGCTTGTCACAGAGAGCAGACATGCTCCTTTCAGCTCTGTGCTATTGATTCTTTAGGTCTAGTATGAGGCCTGGGAACCTTCATATTTAAAAAACCTCCCAGGTAATTCCGATGCAATCAGAAGATACTTATTTTCAAATGGCCGCTTGTAGTCCAAGAAAAGCTCAAATATGATGAATTTTAGACAGGCAGGTGGAGAAGGTGGGCCTCTTTGGAAGCACTGGCTTAAACTGATTAAGCTTTGAGGAGGCCCAGGACCCAGAGCAAGTCTTTTCCAAGAATAATATGCTGTTGGGTCCGAGCCCCCACCAAGTCCTTCTACTTTGTTTGCCTGAAGGGAGCTATAGAGGATGTTAGAGATAAGGTCAGATGGAAACTAGCTCAGGTGCAGCCAACTGATAGCCAGGCAAGAAGCTTCTCTATGGAAAACTCCCCTCTGAGTCACAGAAAACATTTTTTTGAAACACTATTTTTTAGGAGAGAATGCTTCCAAATTGACAGTAAATGTACTCAGCCATTTGTAGAGTTCAGCCATCCTCAGGCTTTTTGGTCTCAGGAAACCTACATTCTTAAAAATAATTGACGACCCCCGAGAGCTTTGTTATATGCAGGCTGTTTCTATCAATATTTATTGTATTCGAAATTAAAACTAAGAAATATTTTCTTCCTTCCTTCCTTCCTTCCTTCCTTCCTTCTCTCTCTCCCTCCCTCCTTTCCTTCCTTCCTTCCTTTTTTTTTTTTGAGACAGAGTCTCACTCTGTCTCCTAGGCTGGAGTGCATGATCTCAACTCACTGCAACCTCTGCCTCCTGGGTTCGAGAATTCTCCTGCCTCAGCCTCCCAAGTTGCTGGAATTACAGGCATCCGCCACCACACCCAGCTAATTTTTGTATTTTTAGCAGAGACAGGATTTCACCATGTTGGCCAGGCTGGTCTCGAACTTCTGACCTCAGGTGATCCACCTGCCTCGGTCTCCCGAAGTGCTGGGATTATAGACATTAGCCACCGTGCCCAGCCTAAAGCTGAGAAATCTTTTCAATTATTATTTAATTCATTTAAAATAACAGTAATAAACCATTATTTTAATGTAGATGACATATTTTTATGCAAAACAATTTTATTTTCCCAAACAACAATAATGAGGAAGAAGAATGGCATTGTTTTACATTTTTACCAATCTCTTTAATATCTGGCTTAAGAGAAGAGAGCTTGATTCTCATATCTGTTTCTGTATTCAGTCAGTTGAGCTGGTTGTGATGTCACAGTTCATGTTTACTACACCCTACACACTCGTGGGACAATGATACTTACAATGCAGAGTAACATATTGACATTCTTATCAAACAGTTTTGACCTTGAGGAGCCTCTGAAAATGTTATGGGGATCTTGGCACCCACAATTTGAGAACCACTGGATAGCTCATCCTCCCCTTCCTGTCTTGTTTTTTGGATCTTGTATGGACAGGACTTTAGGTGCAGATATAGCGGAATATTTTTCTTTGTGAACACAGCTTACTAATAGTAGTTCTTGATACTACTTTTATGAATGTTCTTAAAAAAACATGTTCCAGCTGTGTGAAAATCATTTTCTTTTTTTTTTGGAGATGGAGTCTCTCTCTGTCACCCAGGCTAGAGTGCAGTGGCACGATCCTGGCTCACTGCAACCTCTGCCTCCAGGGTTTAAGCAATTCTCCTGCCTCAGCCTCCCAAGTAGCTGGGATTGCAGGCATGTGCCACCATGCCTGGCTATTTTGTATTCTTAGTAGAGACAGGGTTTCTCCATGTTGGCCAGGCTGGTCTGGAACTCCTGACCTCAAGTGATCCGCTGCCTTGGCCTCCCAAAGTGCTGGGATTACACGCGTGAGCCACCACACCCGGCCACGTGAAAATCATCGTCTTTTGCAAATGTCTCTGTGTTGAACAATCTTCATGAGTTGAATTTAATCTCATATTGATTATTTCAAGGCAACATTCTATTTCAAAAAGCCTGGACTTTCTGGGAATTAAATAAGGAATCTAGGAGCTGATAATAAATGATGAAGGAAGGTGTGACTCACTCGACTCCTTGGGGGCATAATTCGCTCTGGAGATGAGTTTTGACGAGTCGCTGGAATGGTGCATCATGGAACAGCAGCTGGATTTTGTTTGCCAAATAAATGTCAGAAGTGGAGGGATATCCCTTACCCAGTCCACTGAAGATTAAGAATAATGCGATCATGGAAGTCTATCATTAACCTTGTGGCTAATATAACAACTATATGAGAACAGACTCATTCTCTCTCTGTCTCCCTCTCTCTCCCTCTCTCTCTCTCTCTGTGTGTGTATGTGTGTGTGTGTGTGTGAGTGTGTTGGAGGGTGTGATGCAGTGGTTCACAGTATTGTGACACATACGTGTTTATGACACAAGTATAAACAGTCTAGGGAAAATATAGCTTACTCTATTAATGTCTTAGGAACATGCCAATGGCAAACCTATTTATTCTGCCTTTATGGATAACTCGTCTCTTCTCTCTATATGCGTGTATATAGTTATTTGTTGTAATTATCTTTCCAATTAAAAAAAAGGACGGGGCGTGGTGGCTCACACCTGTAATCCAGCACTTTACAAGCTAAGGTGAGAGGAAAACCCAGGAGTTCAAGACCAGCCCTGGCAAAATAGAGAGACCCCATTTTACAAAATAAAATAAAATAAAACAAAATTTAAAATTAGCCAGGCATGGTAGCAGGCACCTGTACTCCCAGCTACAGGAGGGTCGCTTGAGCCCAGGAGATCAGGGCTGCAGTGAGCTATGATTGTACCACTGCACTCCAAACTGGGTGACAGAGTGAGACTCTGTAACTCAATAAAATAAAATAAAATAAAATAAAATAAAATGTTACTCTGGGTCAGGTTGTTTTATGTTCAGTGCGCTGGTTTAATGGGAACTGTGGTATTAAGTGCATGTCAGAAGTGTGTCTTCTCTTGTGATGTCTACAGGGCCTGGGCCTCTGCTTTGCGCACAGCTATCCCCCAATCAAAGCCAGTAGAAAACACATCTTGATTGTGATGGACATGCAGGTTCCATCAACCATTCTGCAGTTACAGAACTGTAATAAAAAGCCGATCTTTTTATTATACCTGTATCAACATTTAAAAACTAATCCCAGGCTGGGGTGCAGTGGCTCGATCTCGGCTGGCTGCAAGCTCCGCCTCCCGGGCTCACGCCATTTAAAAAAAAAACAAAAAACAAGAGCTATTCCACTTTCTTGTAGACAGAAACTGATCAGAATGTGTGTATTCTAGAATATTAAGTGAAATTAAGATTTTTTTTTAGATTTTGAAATTTTAGTCCTTCATATCTTTGCAGTTAATGCCCATATTTCTCCATTTTTATTTTAAAGTCCAATTTGAAGAAAATTCCTTTGATTAAAAAAATTTACTTGTACATATAAAACCTTTTTAAATATTATTATATGTAGACTTGATTATTATTTTAACAGAAGTACTAAATGTCACAACTATTATTTCCGTAATAATATGGAATCTCAATAACCTCAATATATTCTTAAACAAGAATACTGACCTCGGAACTTCCCATAGGTACAAAGAACTGCCCCAGTGAAGGAATTACTTCCCTATCCCAAAGAGCTGCAGGACCGCTCTGTCCCTCTCCGTCAACAATGTCCCTCGCAGCTGTTCTCTTTAGGCAACGATCGTGTCCTGGCCACAGAAGCTCTGAGCATCTCCTTGCCACGGCTGTGTCAGGACCCCTGTACACCATATGTGCCTCTACAATCCTGCCCTTCCTAGTGCTTCTGCCCACACACTCAACACACTTCTCCTCTGCCCTTATTCTATTTCATCATTAGTCTCTGTTCGTCTTTTTCATCCCGTATCAGTGCCTGATCCTAGTTTTTTATTCTCTTCTAAAACACCTCCTCCTGGCCTCACGGTGGGCTAGCTTTCAGGACCTGCGAATGAGCGTGGGCGACGCGGCTAGTGGATTGGCATACATCCTGTAGAAGCATGTGTGTGTGTGGTGTGTGTGGCCTCAGGTTAGAGTGCATCATTTTGGTGGTGCCAATGCAATATGCTTTCCTGCACCCTCCTCCATCCTTGACTTCCAAACAGTAGGCACACAGGTGGCCTTCTGCCACCTGAATTCCAGACATAACTTCCCATTTCCAAAGAGATTTCTTGGGAAAGACCCAGCAAGAAGATGGTGACCGATATAAGCTCCAGTGTGGGACATACAGCTTCCATCTATGTGTGATTTACTCTCTGCCTCATTGTAGCCCCTTGTAAATGTGTAGAAAAGACTAAGCAACCACCATTCCAGATTTTTACATTGCAAGTTGGGGAGTTTATCTGGCGGTTGCCCTGAAGCAACAGAAAGGGAGTCAGTGATTTCTGTGAAGTGAGGGAGGTTACTTTTTCAATTCCAGCAAACATTTTTGCAGAGTAAATATTGTAGGCTAATGAACCTCCTTAAATTCCAACATGTCATGGATTTGTATGGTTGCAAATTAGACTTAGCAGTATGTGGTGCTATAGAAAATCCAACAGCGTACTTAGAGTCTACTCTGTGAGTTAATTGCATGAAAAATCTCTGCAATTATTTTATCAGCCCAGATACATGGAAATGAGTATTTCAGTTCAAATGAATGTAGACAGTAGATAAGAGAGAGAAAAAAGAGGGGATTTCAGAAGATGATGGGGAGTCAAAATGACAACAGAAAATGAGGATGTAGTTAGAACCAGGCTGGGCATCTGATCACTAAAGGATTTTGCCAGTAGCACAACATTTTAAAAAAATTCAGTAGTTTGCACTGAGTCTGGATTATCAGTCACTTCCCAGTTCAGTTTATTGAGCACCCACTATGCATTTCTCTTTCTTTCTTTCTTCTTTCTTTCTTTTTCTTTCTCTTTTTTTTCCTTCCCTTCTTTCCTTCCTTCCTTCCTTTCTCTTTCTTTCTTTTTTTCTCTTTTTCGTTCTTTCCTTTCTTTTTTCCCCTTCCTTCCTTCTTTTTCTTTCTCTCTCTTTCTCTCTGTTTCTCTCTTCCTTCCTCTTTCTCTCTCCCTCTCTTTCTCTCTTTCTTTCTTCTTTTTTTGACAGTCTCATTCTGTTGCCCAGGCTGGAGTGCAGTGGCACTATCTCAGCTCACTGCAACCTCAGCCTCCTGGGTTCAAGCAATTCTCCTGCCTCAGCCTCCCTCTCTCTCTTTCTCTGTCTTTCTCTTGCTCTTTTTTCTCTTCTCTTCTCTTCCTTCCTTCCTTTTCTTTCTTTCTTTTTTTGACAGAGTCTCATTCTGTTGCCCAGGCTAGAGTACACTGGCACTATCTCTGCTCACTGCAACCTCAGCCTCCTGGGTTCAAGCAATTCTCCTGCCTCAGCCTCCCGAGTAGCTGGGATTACAGGCATGCACCACCACACCTGGCTAAGTTTTGTATTTTTAGTAGAGATGGGGGTTTCACCATGTTGGCCAGGCTGGTCTTGAACTCCTGACCTCAAGTGATCTGCCCGCCTTGGCCTCCCAAAGTGCTGCAATTACAAGCGTGAACCACAGCGCCCAGTTGGATTTCATGCAATGCATTATACATGAGACAAAGATGCCCTTGGACGTTGTTCCTGTCCTCAGGGAGTGCAGGTCCAGTAGAGAGGAGGGACAGATGACACAGTACAGTGTGACAGAGCAAGAGGCACAAGAGGGTCAACACATCAGAACATCTCGTGAGCCACGTGTTCTGCGTGGGAGTGAAGGGCAGACCTATGCAGAGGAGCTGGGGAGAAGCAGTGGGTGCAGCGCCACGGGATGACGGCTTAGTGGGCAGCCTAGTGGGGCTTTTACTGTCAGCAATTCAGTGCTGCTGGTGCCTGAAGGAGGCAGCAGTGGAAGCAGTGGACGTTACACGGGGCAAATATCAGCAAGAAGACTGTGGTTGGCAGCCCAGGGGCAGGTGAAGGGTGGGTAGGGCCCCAGCCTGGAGATTCTAGTTTGCATGCCTGGGTGAGCACCTGCAGTGTGAGAGGACAAGGCAGGGAAAAAGGAGGAGAAATAGCGCTGGGGGCGGGGGAGGGGAGTGTGATCATCATTCTGTTGTATTTATTAAGATGTGTGATAAAATAACTCTTGGGAGCTGGCAGGTAGCATCTTCCTGACGTAAAGGTTACCTGAAAACATGCCTGAAAATCAGACATGATAAAATCAAACCACAGGCTTCTATATTAATAGAGAAATATCATGCCAAAAAATTAAATTCTTAAAAAATCCTTAATAATATTACTTTCCTTTTAGATATAATGCTTGATGATATACTTCCAAGCCTGTCATTCTTTTTCGTTGTCTCCATCACAACTGAAAGCAGTCCATCAGGTTAAATCTAGTGAATAAAGAATCATCATTTTTAGCAAGGTTAGCAGTCTTCATCTTTATCTGTGTTGTATCAAGCATATGAAATGAAGTTACATGTCTCTTATCAATAGCATCTGCTTTCATCTGTATTTATTTTTTAATTCATTCATTATTCATACATTCATTCATGGTAAGGAGAACATCTCAGTTTTTTTCCCTCTGACCACTGCCTTTGAGGTATTATTTTATAAAAAAGAAATTATATATTAGAGACACAGGCAACATACCCTATATACCTGATTCCATGTCCCCCCTCTCCTCCCCAGGAATAACCACCATCCTTTAATTTTATATTTTTATTTCCTTTGTATTTTTTTATTTTTATTTTTTTAGACAGAGTCTCCGTCGCCAGGTCACCAGGCTGGAGTTCAGTGGCACGATCTCGGCTCACTGCAACCTCTGCCTCCTGGGTTCAAGTGATTCTCCTGCCTCAGGTTCCCGAGTAGCTGGGACTACAGGCGTGCGCCGCCACGCCCAGCTAATTTTTGTATTTTTAGTAGAGACAGGGCTTTACCATGTTGGCCAGGATGGTCTCAATCTCTTGACTTTGTGATCTGCCTGCCTCGGCCTTTCACAGTGCTGGGATTACAGGCGTGAGCCACCGCACCCGGCCCATTGTACATTTGTAACACTTTAACTGCAAGTCCTTGTGTGCCCCCTCAATACTGTTTTTGTCGCTTTAAATTTTATATAAATGCTATCACACTCAGCTGAGCCTCTGTAACCTACTTTTCATCTTCGGTATTAGATTTCTGATATTTCTCTATAGTAATCCATGTAGTTTATTCGTATTAACTGCTCTATAACATTCCATGATATGAATACACTAAATGTCTTTATATATCTAATTTCAGTATTCATTTCATTTTTTACTATTTAAAAATAGCAAAAATAACTGTAATGAGCATTCTGTCTCCTTGTGCATGTAGGCTAGAATTTCTCTAGGGCATATATTTTTTAGGAATAAAATGGCTGGGCTCTAGGATATGAGCATCTTCAAGTTGATTTGGTATTGTCAGATTATCCCTAAAGTAACTGTCCTAGTTGTACTCCCACCAGCAATGTAGGAGAGTCCTTTTAAACTTGGAACGGTCCAATGTTAACATTTTACCAATCTGATGGCGGCAAAAACCGTCAGATTCTTCAACTATTCTTTACTACGTCTTCAAGCAGCTTTTATCCATTCAAAAACATCTTCTTGCATCTGAAAACTCCCATAACAAACAATAAAAGCCTTGCATGTTTTCAAGACCAATACATAGATTTCTCTTATTGCTAAATGTAATGTTCATTTTAGTGTTCAAATGCTGTATAATGCATTATTTTTGAGCTATTATTGAAACAGCGTATCTTTGTGCATGCAAATAGTTACCTTCAAATTACACTTTTGCATATTTCCAAAAGATGGAAAATGTATCCCGCAATTCTTGTCTTTAGCTATATATATATATGTATAAGCCTTTCAGTGAAGCATCATTTCCTGCAGCTAATTTATATTAGGATTTATTGTGCAAAGTTGGAGAACAGGATTTCCAGAAATCTGCTATACATAAAGTTGAATAACTGTAATTAAGAAGAATTTTGAAAATGCAATGACCTCATACAATGACAAGTGGCTGACTAAATAATAACCAAACTTGGGGCAGATACACTCAGAGAAAGAACAAATATATTAGCAGCGTAGTAAGTAAAGAGATTATAGTCCTAAAAGAAGAGGCCGATGTTTTCAGCAACTTTAAGCTGTAGAATATCTTTGGGTCAGACAATAAGGAGAAGTACTTTGGTGAGGCAATATTTGTTACTTACTTTCCCCTAGCTAAAGCTGTATACATGGATAAAAATTTCATCAGCAGTTGTATACTCAGTTTAAAAACAAAAAATCACAAACATTCCATATGCATGCATAAAAGATGCCCAGATAATTACCTATACAAGAAATAAGCTAATTGAAAGCACGAAGAAAAGTTGGGAACCTTAAGATAGTATAAATATCTACTGAGCATTTAATTAATCGCCTTTTCAAAAAGAAAGGCAAATTTAAAGATTAAAGATGATATAATTCTACTCCTTGTTAAATATTTCAGAAAAAGAAAGCCTTAGTAATACTTAATTATAATTATTAATTTGTACAATAAAAAGCAAGATGAATATCATGAAGTAATTAGAGAAGTTATATGGTATTCACCAGCCCTACCACAATTACCACACACACACACGCACACACACACACCATCACTGCCATCACAATGACTACATGCTTACACACAGCTATACATTCCAGCACCACCACCACCGCCATCATTACATGCTTATACACATACAGCCAAGTGGAGTGCCTTAAATATTTTAGAGGGAAAAAGCAAGCAAATGGCTGCACAAATTATGACATTATTAAACTGGTATATCCAGAATAGTGAACTAGTTTATTCAGTTACCACTGTGGATCCACTAATACATTATACAACTTATTTCAAGCCATTTTTCAAAAATTGCAAAATAGATTTAATTTCTTGGTATTTCATCTCTATTTCTTTCTGCTTATCTTGTTCTACATTTTTCTTCCATCTTAAATTACTTTTATTTTCTTTTATAGTCACTTTAATTTTCTATCACATTACATTTTAAGCCAATTGCTACCATCATTAGGAAGAGATTAAGAATTTTCAAGGCCAAAAACATTATCTGCTATAATAATGTGAAATCTGTGTAACAGTGCTCAAGAATACTTTCTTTCAATAAGAAAAAAATTGAACCTACTAGTTCAAATTTAAAATGAAAGATAACAAAATATCTTCCATGGATACTTCATTTATGATAATTAAAATATACATACATTTTACTCATAAACATTTTAATATATGCTTAGGACAGAACAATTTTGTCTAATTTGACTGATTTCCTACTGGTCAATCATTTTGGAGGACTTAGTTATGCTTTAAGGTAATCCTGCATAGCATTCAGGAACATATACATATGCATATGTGTTTATGTACACAAAGATCTTGACATATCTGCAGGCTACAGTCAAAATTAAATGTTCCTCTAAAGCAGTTTCTAAGTGAAAGAAAAATTTATTATTCCTTGTTTCTCTTTTTAGACTTTATAAAATGTAGACAATAAAATTACCAGTTGCCCATATAACTAATATAATCTGATGTTTCTAAAATAGTCTAAACTGCAAGGCTTATACTGTTTCATAAATATTATTTAAAATCTGTTTTTTCCATGAAATTGAAAAGCTAAAAATCCAAACTCCAATAGATAAAAAAAAAGACTAAAAAATAAGAGATGAAGAGATGGAGTTACAAAAATACCCAATTGTATAATTTGAGAGGCTGCCATGAGAACCAATGAAACTAGGGTAATAAATAGAGAAGGCTTTAGAAAAGACGCCAACATCCCAGGAAATGTGAATTGGCTGTGATGCTTATAAACCTGAGGCTTGAGGCCTCTCACTTACTGGGGATCCCTGTGAGTTCCAGGAGTTGCAGAATGTTCCAATTGCTGAAACAGGCCTAAATCTTCAAAGCTCCGGTGACTTCCTGTGATTACTTTTCTCATTCCAATAAACCTTCACATTTGTATTTAATTCTGTAATCCTAATTTTATGTTCTTTTACTTAGAATTCATTCCAACTACAGTTGTCAGAGTTACCAAATAAAATTCAGGACTCACAGTTACATGTGAAAATCAGGTAAACAGTGAATAACCTTTTAGTATAAGTATGTCATGAGCGATATTTGGGACATATATGTATTAACATTTTCTGATTTGTTTGGCTGAAATTCAGATTTAACTGGGCATCAGGAATTTCTCTGGTAACTCTATCCCCAAATTGTATACACTTCAGGCTTCATAAAACCTGAATCTGTCAGATTTTCCTCCTGGGTAAGAAATACTCAAAGAGGAAGCTTATGGGATCATTAGAATCATTCTTTTCGAATCAGAAGAAACTTTAAGGAACCTCTAGTGTCAGCCCCTCAATCCCCTTCTTTGTAGATGGAGGAACTGGTGCGAGATCAGATGGCAGCTGGGCCTAGAACTCAGTGCCCCTGAGGCTCAGGATTGCACCAGGGCCAGAGGCTCCACTCTCAGCCTCAGCCTCGCCCTTGCCTGCTGAGAAAGCTCTTGCTCCTTCTCGGGCTGCTTGGAAGCTCTGTCTGCACGCTCACTGCAGGGCAGCTTCCAGAGGAAAGCTGTGAGTCAGCAGGGTTTGGCTTGGCTCTGTATGGGTCTGCTCTCTCACCCTGACACACCAGGACACCCAGGGCCCTTGGGCTTATCTGACTGTCACTGATCTCATCGCTTTGCCTCTCCACCCATCCCTTCCTGCCCCCAGACTGGAATACCACCTCAAGATCTCTCCAAGCCCCCTTGCAAACCCACCATACCTGAAAGAGGCTGTGGAGGGCTGGTTCCAGGTAGCTGTTCCCATGATCATGAATCTTTAACCATAGAGCCCTTTGAGAATCCAATAAAAGCTATGGATTTCCTGGTTCCAAAGAGGTACAAGGGCACCAAGGCAATTTTGCATCTAATATCGAGGGACTCACAGATCTCCTAATGCCCTGTTTTGGGGCCCACGGGTTAAGCATCTCTGTATCACACCATGCTTATGCACTGACATATACAAGAAGGTTGGGCCCTACCAAAACTGCCTGTGTACATATGCCCTAACATTGAAATATACGTCTTGAGAAACCCAGGACACTCAGCCCATGGTAGAATGCATCTTGGAACACAACTAACTCATTTATGGGGACAAGAGAGCACTACAGACACTTCTGGAGGTGCTAAGTTGCATTTTAAATAAGGAACAATATTTAGGAAACCAGAGAAGTTCTCTAATAAGGGACTCCAGGCATCAAGAACAGGCTGACTGAAGCTGGGTGTGGTGAGGTGCGCCTGTATTCCCAGCTGTTCAGGAAGCTGAGGTGGGAGAATCGCTTGAGCCCAGGAGTTCAAGGCTGCAGTGAGGTATGAGTGTGCCACTGTATTCCAGCCCGGGTTCCAGAGGGAGATCTTGTCTCTTAAACAAACAAATAAACAAAAAATAGGCTTAGTGAGAAATTTCCCTCTCAAAGCACATCATGCCATTAATCCCCACACTGGCTGTGTAGAGTGCGAATAATAATGATAGTAGCTGCTAGCATTGACTAGATGCATTGACTAGTCATCCTAGACGACTGTTCACTATGTCACAGACACCATGCAAAGTACTTTGACGACACCTCTGTGAGGCAGGTATTGTTATCAATCCCTTTATTCAGGTGAGAACGTGAAAGCTGAGAGAGTTTAAATAGCTGGCTCAAAGTCAAGCAGGTTCAAACCCAGGAAGATATGAAGCCATCTTACTCTATGCAGACTTCCATGAGGAGTCCACAGTTGTCCCTTTGAAAGTTGAGTTACGGCCGCTGGGTTGGAGACAGCAGGCTGCAATATCTGCTCTGCTCACTAGTCACTCTTCTTTTTGCCCTCTGGGCAAACATCTGGTGAAGGAAAAATCCAGTGGTTGCTTGAGGGTGTTCATTCCGGGAAAATTTAGGAGGGTGATTAGAGCAAACTGGTCAAAACAGAAAAGTCTGGATCCTTTTTTTTTTTTAAGGAGTGTGGAATTTGCTCAGCTTTTTTCTCCTCGAAATTTTCTTTAAAAACAGTTTCAGGTTGAGAATCCCTTATCCGAAATGCTTGGAACCAAAAGCGTCTGGATTTGACTTTGGGATTTTTTTGGATTTTGGAATATTTGCATATGCATAATGAGATATCTTGGGGATGGGACCCAAGACTAAACAGGAAATTCATTTATGTTTCGTATACACCTTATGCACATAAGCCTGAAGGTAATTTTATTTTTCCCTTAAGGACGCTGGATAACCTTGCGGGGTGCACTTGTGTTTTGACTGCTGCTGGCCACATGAGGTCCAGTGTGGAATTTTCCACTTGTGTCATAACAGCAGCCATGAAGTTTTGGGTTTTGAGCATTTAGGATTTTTGGATTAGAAATGTTCAATCTGTACTACAACAAAAGAGGTAGGCCTACTGTCTCAGCAACAGAAGTGAATGAATAAGCCCTGGTATTTCAGAAACTTAAAAAAAAAAATCACATATATCCCATCTTTTGGCCTGGTGACCTGAGGCAGCTGTTTAGGTGATAGAAAATACTAAACTAATTGTGATTTGGCTTGATCATCTAAACACGAATGTGATCCAGGAATAAGTCATCTCCAGCCCAGCCCCACTGTGTCATCTGCCAGACGTCCCTCACTGTAGATCCTCTCGGCAGAGACAGCTAATGGTCCCTCATCCCTCTTTACCCCTCCCTCATCCCAGCTTCCAGCCTCAGAATCAGGCTCCCCTGCAAGGAGCCCCCTGCACCCCACTCCTGCCTTAAGTGCTAGAAAAGCCGACTTCAACTCGGGTTCCTCACATTTTCAAAGGAGCAGGTTCCAAACCTGCTCTGTGTTTAGGGAATTCTCTGGCTAAAACCCCCTGCTCCTGATCATTCCAGTGTACACTTTGTGAATTTAAACCTATTGTGAATTTAATGTGATCTAATGAGCTTTGCTTAGGAAAAAACTGTTCTTGGGTCACAGAATCACATTCGTTGCTCTCACCAGCCAGCTTTTAATTACATGCTTTTCATTACCAGGGCAACGAGGGGAGAGACTGAGTCCTCTGGGTGACCTCATCACCACAAACAGAAACACAAGGAAAATAGCAGGCACTCTGTCTTAGATGGAGGATTACATTTATCTAGGAAGCAACACATTTATGGGGTGACTTTATCTTGATAACAGTGCGGGATGGTAACTGCTTCTGGATTGGCTTTTGTTTCTTTGTAGACTTTGAACTGCTTGAGAAAAGAGACTGTATAGATATATATATATTTGATTCTGTGCTTTTCCAACACACACACACGCACACACACACACGCACACACACACATTCCACATTACCTCATACATTTTATGCTGAGTTAGAATTTATTTGTTGTTAAACTGACTGGCATAGAAGTGTTAAATGTTTCAGGAAAAAAATGGGCAGATTCGAAGCCTCAAGGGATCAGGAGTAGGGAGAAGCCATATTTCAGTTTCTAGAGAAGCAGGAATCTGCCCTGGGACATGGAGAGGGCAGTTGGCCAATTGGAAGGAACACGTTTTGACATCAGAAGCAGTGGAGACCCCTGGCTCTCTGGGTCCCACCTGCATCCGCATGCCTTTGCCAGTTGCGTGCACACTAGCCCTCCCTCCAAGGGCCAGAGAACCTTCCTTTCACTGCCTGAGGCTTTCTCTGAGTAGTGTGAAGGCTGCTTTGCCTACCTATGAAGCAGGCCAGAACTTCCAGGAAATTAACACCCCTGGGAGCAACTCTCAGCCAACGACTGACCATTGGTGTATGTATTGGATATCCATGCTTCCTAAAAAATAATGTGTGCAGTAACTCTGTAAAACAACAACAGTTTCGTATTTCTCATGATTCTGTAGGTCAGAAATCTGGGCAGGGCTCAGCTGGCTTCAGGTCTTTGTGATCTTGGGTCATGTGCTCAATGGCATTCGGCTGGCCCCTAGAGGATTGGAGGGCCCAAGAAGGCTTCCTTCACATGGCTGGCACTTGGGTGTTCCTCCCTGTGGCCTCTTTCTCTATTTTTTTTTTTTTTTTTTGAGACAGAGTTTTGCTCCTGTTGCCCAGGCAGGAGTGCAATGGTGCGATCTCGGCTCACCACAACCTCCGCCTCCTGCATTCAAGTGATTCTCCTGCCTCAGCCTCCTGAGTAGCTGGGATTACAGGCATGCACCACCATGCCCAGCTAATATTTTGTTTTTTTTTTTTAATAGAGACAGGGTTTCTCCCTGTTGGTTAGGCTGGTCTCAAACTCCCGACCTCAGGTGATCCACTCGCCTCAGCCTCCCAAAGTATTGGGATTACAGGTGTTAGCCACCACGCCCGGCCCCTGTGGCTTCTTTCTCTTTACATGGTGTCTCATTTTTTTAGTACATGAGTCCAGATTATTTACAGGATGACGGCGGCCTCCCCAGACAGCATGGAAATGGAAGCTTCTAGATGTCTCAGAATGGGCCTAGCATCCGTTCTCCTGATATTTTCTGCCTTCTCCTGATAAAAGCATGTCACAGGCTAGTCTGGGTATGAATAGAGGAGAAATAGACTCCACTTCTCGTCGGGAGGAATGGCAGGCCCATGCATACAGGGCCGGGAGGAACTGCGGGCCTCACGTTTGGAAACCATCTTCCCTGGGGTGCCAGTATCTAGCTCCCTCAACCACCGGGCTGGACTAGGTTGCGGAGCGTGCCATGCACTGGCTCCGCAGCAGACGCAAGCGTGGGAACTCGCTGCCCTGCCTTTCCTGCCTGATTTCTTCCCTCCCTCAGCCATGCTTCTTGAGATCACTCCCAAATAAACCTCTTGAACTCAAAGCCTTTCCTCAGGGTCTGCTTCTGGGGGAACACAAACCTAGGCATGAGGGATCAGGAATATTTAAGGCACAAATGTGAAGATCTCATATTTCCAGTCAGTTGAAAGCTGTGAGTGGGAATGGGGGAAGATGAGGGAATCAGAACACCTAGTTCTTTTCCCTGATCTTACGGCCCTCAGGATAAACTCTGTGGCTAGGGGTGAGGCACGTAAAAGAAGGAATGGCATCCACATCTCCTTCTCTCCCCTGAATGGCATCCTGGGAACTGGTACATGGGGTGCGTCCTCTTTAACACCCCCATCTTGGAAACAGCACTGCAAGTCACTCTACCACGAGGCTCTGGAGATTCACTACAAACTCTGCTCTTACTCATCTTTAGGTTAGAAAGCATATCTTGGCCGGGTGAGGTGGCTCACACCTGTAATCCCAGGACTTTGGGAGGCTGAAGTGTGAGGTTCACTTGAAGCCAGGAGTTTGAGACCAGCTGCAGCAACATAGTGAGACCCCCCATCTCTACAAAGAAAGAAAAAGAAAAAAAATTAGCTGGGTGTGGTGGCACAACCTGTGTCCCAGCTACTTAGGAGGCTGAGGAGGGGAGATCACTTGAGCCCAGGAGGCCGAGATTGCAGTGAGCTGTGATCATGCCACTGTACTCCAGCCTGGGTGACAGAGTGAGACCCTGTCTCAAAAAAAAAAAAAAAAAAGAAAAAAAAGTATCTCCCATCCAGTGCATGATGACTAACAACTGCTGCCTGTGATGCTGATGACAGGGTTTTGTTTTATTGTTTTAATCTCTGCAATGTGAAATGTAAATAAAACCCAATTGTACTATCCGTAAATAATTGTCAATATTTCAGCAAGCTTTTATATAAGAAATAAATCTCAATCCTGAGAAAACTAGCTGCAAGTGGATTGGGATGTTAGCTCTCAGGGACTTTGTTTGTCCCCAGCTGTGTCCCCAGGTGCCAGAGCATATAGTAGTAGGCATTTAATAAGTATTTGTTAATTAAATGAATGTCTGTATTTTGGGAAGGGGTGATTAATGACAGGGATAACTGTTGTCGCTTCCTTCTCATACCTCCCCCCTCCCCACAAGTCATTTGACAGGTATTATAGCAGGGAATAAAGATGTGCTATAGAAAAACAGTATTTGAAGTATAGAAAAAACTGATAGAGGCCAGGTGTGGTGGCTCATGCCTGTAATCCCAGCACTTTGGGAGGCCAAGGCAGGCGGATCACGAGGTCAGGAGTTTGAGACCAGCCTGACCAATGTGGTGAAACGCTGTCTCTACTAAAAATACAAAAATTAGCCGGGTGTGGTGGTGGGCGCCTGTAATCCTGCCTACTCAGGAGGCTGAGGCAGGAGAATCACTTGAATCCAGGAGGCAGAAGCTGCAGTGAGCCAAGATTCTGCCATTGCACGCCAGCCTGGGTGACAGAGAGAGACTCCATCTCAAAACAAACAAACAAAAAATCCCCAAAAACTGATACCTATAATATTGACACATAGGAAATAAACTGTTAAAATACTTACTATAACAAAATTTTGAGGTAAAAAAATAAGAAAAGAAGAGGAATATTTTAAAAACTTATATATGCTGATACACATCTAAAAGAAAAGCTAAGAACCACCATTATTAAATAGCCTCATATTTTCTTTGACCTTTACCTTTTGAATTCTACTCTGTAAATGTAATTTATTTGCTTTTTGTAGAGAAAATTCAATTGTCTTATAAAAGTTGAATGGTAGGAAAAATAGAGGAAAGAAAGAAACTGTTTCTTTACAAAATCAGGATAATATATACATATGTTTATACCAGGTAGGTGAAACCCAAAAGTAGGTTATTCTACCTTGGGGCCCCTCTTTCCACCAACTTCTTTCTCCCAACTCCTCCCACTTCTTGAATATTTGCTCTCTTTTTTGCCCAGGCTGCCATTCATTCTACTGTCACTCATTGAATTCCACTGAGCACCTACTTTGTGGCAGGTGCACTCTGCAGCAGGTGCAGAGGTGAGCACGATGAATGGAATCCAACCTGCGTGGAGCTTATTCATTGGAGGGGAAGGCAGAGAATAAATAATCACAACTATAATAATATAAGAAATAAACAGCAACACCCTGTGATGAGTGTTGTGCTTAGGTCTGAGTTGCTAAACTCATTTGTCTATTTTTGACATTTGAACAAGATTATATACATATTAAATTAAAATAGATTTTATATATTAAAAGATTGTATTTCATAAAAAATACTCTTGGCTGTACTTGCCTCCCACTCTAGTTCCCCGTACAGGACTGGCCTCCAGCTCCACCAAAATATCTTAATTGTATCCCATTTCCTTGGTTTAGCAGACTCCATTATCCACGGAAATATGTTCCAAGATCTCCAGGAGATGCCGAAAACCGCAGATAGTATCGAACCCTATATACACTATCTTTTAGATCAGATCACCTAGACCGGGGCCCCCAACCCCCTGGGTCACAGACCGGTACCAGTCTGGTCTGTTAGGAACCAGGCTGCACAGCAGGAGGTGAGTGGCGGGCAAGTGAGCATTACTGCCTGAGCTCCACCTCCTGTCAGATCAGTGGCGGCATTAGATTCTCCTAGGAGCTTGAAGCCTATTGTGTGGAAAAATTGTCTTCCACGAAATCGGACCATGGTGCTAAAAAGGTTGGGAACCACTGACCTAGATGGCTACTAAATGACTTGTGGGTGGGTAGCGTATACAGGGTGGACCCACTAGACCAAGGGGGGATTCACGTCCCAGTGGTCCAGAGTGAGATCTCATCATGCTACTCAGAACAGCAAGCAATTTAAAACTTATGAATTGTTTATTTCTGGAATTTTCCATTTAATATTTTCTGACTGCAGATGCCCATGGGTAACTGAAACTGCAGAAGGCAAAACTATGGATAAGGGAGTTATTCTGATTCTCTAATCAAAGAAACCATGCTGAGTCATTACTGGCTGATAAAGAGCTGTTTTGTTGACCCTCGTTTAGAGATGCAATAATATCATACCCCCCAAAAACGGATATTTAAAGGGATTTCAGGCTCTAGCAAAGGACTGCTGGGGAAGGAATGAAATGGTTGATGCCTTCAAAATAACATTTAAACAGAAAGAGATTCGGCCTACTTGTAAGACTGTTATATGGTAATAACAAAACATTCCTTTAAGTGCTTTAGCTGTGCCTTCAGTAATAGCTTTGTGGTCTGAAAGAGATAGCAGAGGCTTCCCGAAGGTTTCACTTACGTGGTATTTCTGGTGATGAGGGATCTCTCTCCAGTAGTTTCTATACAATGTACCTGCCAAAGCGTTTGAAGGAAAGTATGACTGGCTGACAGAGCTAGGCTGCAGACTTTGGCCATGACCACAGAATGGAGACACATTTCACATTTATTCTTTGGAAATCCCGAGGCAAAAATGTTCATCTTCCTTACTTTGGGCTCTATGAAATATTCTATTTGACTTCCTCTCCAACAAGCTGTCTACCTCACACTTCTAAATTCACCTCTCACATTCATTTCCTCTCAAAAGCTCTTCCTACGCCAAGACAAACTCTCCTGAATTGTGTTAAACCCTGCTTGTTACTCTGACATTGCAATTCTCAGATGTCATGTCGTATTTCCCCAACAGAATGGCCTCAATCTCCCCATGCGATATGCTTGCAAATGCTTTCATGCTTGTTTATTTAATTTCAGTTCCAAGTCCATTTATTACTATTGTTACTACAGTGCTAAGTGCCTAATGCTACTCCTAATAATTGTAAATTAATGTTTTTGCTATCATATAAGATTATTATACAATTCATCCATCATTGTCATTATCATCATCTCTGAATGGAGGTGTAATCGTTAGAACCTTTTCAAATTCCTCCGCCTCATTTGTAATCATATAAAGTTTCTTATCATATTCATTTCTTTTTAAATAGCTTTATTGTTTTTGCAGAATTGCTGAGTGTTCATTATAGAAATTCAAGCAACAGAGAAAAGTAATGAAAAAAGTAGAAATCACTCTAGATTCTACCATTAAAATTTTAACGGCCATTCTTTTGGATATTATTTTATATTCACATGTAGATACATGTATAAAATTTTACACAAATGAGCATTACCATATATACTGTTCTATAAACTTTATTTGTAGTCAATTAAATGTATTGAGCATCTTTCCGTGTGAATACATTTACCATAGTTATTAATCATTTTTAGTGTTTTCATAATACCATCACATACATGTTCTACCACCGTCCCCAACCTTTTTGGCACCAGGGACAGGTTTCATGGAAGACAATTTTTCCACAGACCAGAAGGGGGCAGAGGATGGTTTTGGGATGAGACTGTTCCACTTCAGATCATCAGGCATTAGATTCTCATAAGGAGCGTGCAACCTAGATTCCTCGCATGCATAGTTCACAATAGGGTTGTCACTCTTATGAGAATCTAATGCCACCACTGATCTGACAGGAAGCGGAGCTCAGGCCATAATGCTCGCTTGCCACCCACCTCCTGCTGTGTGAGCCCATTCCTAACTGGTATTGGTCTGTGGCCCCCAGGGTTGGGGACCCCTGCTATACACAACACTTTGCTATAAACATTTGTTGTTTCTCAATTTTTACTGATCTAAACAATGCTATAATAAAGGCTCTTATGCATAAACTTTTTTGAACTTGTGGTATTATCTCCTAGGGCTAAATACCTGGAAGTGAAAATTACTGGGTCAAAGGCTATGCAGTACTACACCTTAATACATATTTTGATACACAATGATTGGTTGTAATCAATCCACACCAACAGTGTGTGAGAGTTTTCTATCTTGTCTTTTCTCATAACATCATCTCTGTGCCCAAAAATTTTAGGGGGAGGGGGCTGCTAATTACCGAGCTGGGTGAACAATAAAGCAGTAGTAATTTTGGACCGTGTTTTTCTCATGAACAGTGGGAAGGATAACACCTTTATAGTCTTGTCCTATTCCACTCCTTTGTTTTCATCATCTGAATGGATAATTTTACTGAAACATCACACATAAGGATTTTATGACAGTCAATTTATATGAGCACCTGAACCCATTATACAGCATAATTCATACTTAATATAAAGTGACAGTTGTTAGCAGATTGCACTGGCATTCCCTTCAAAAAGACAGTTGCTCAACAGGAATCATTCTGAATCGATTAATCAAGCCACAGCTCTGCTATAAGGCTGTGGTATTCTGACATCAGGAAAAAGGAACTAGTGCATTCTGAGCAATTTTTGCCCACATACTTTTACATTGCTGAGCTCATTAAAGCCATTAGGTCTTTGACAGAGATCTTATCCATCTAACATCCTCAGCCTCTTGAAATGGCTATGTGAAAAACTGGCTCATTTCCTCTGGTTTTTGTTTGCTAAAGTGGGTATAGTGAATTAAAAAATATAAATGCTGTTGACTTACAATGGGATTACATCCCAATAAACCCACCATAAGATGAAAATATCATGCCAGGAATGGATTTAATACACCTAACTTACTGAACATTATAGCTTAGCCTAGCCTATGTTAAATGTGCTCAGAACACTTATATTAATGTACAGTTGGGCAAAATAATTTAACAAAAAGCCTCTTATAATAAAATATTGAATACATAATGTAATTTATTGAATACTGTACTGAAAGTGAAAAAAAGAATGGTTGTGTGGGTACTTGAAGTAAGGTTGCTACTTAATGTGTGTTGCTTTCGTACCACTGTAAAGTTGGAGAATTGTATATCAAACCATCTAAGTCAGGGACTGCCTGTACGTACAGATGACCTTGAACAAAACGAGTTGAATTGTGTGGGTCCAGTTATACGTAGATTTTCTTCCACTTCTGCCATCTCTGAGAGAGCAAGATCAACTCTTCCTCTCCCTCCTCCTCCTCAGCCTACTCAATGTGAAGATAATAAGGGTGAAAACCTGTGATGATCCACTTCCACTTAATGAATGGGTTATAGATAGATAGAGAGAGAGAGAGAGAGAGAATCTCTCTCTGTCACCCAGGCTGGAGTGCAGCAGCTCAATCTCAGCTCACTGCAACCTCCACTTCCCAGGTTCAAGTGATTTTCCTGCCTCAGCCTCTTGAGTAGCCGGGATTACAGGTGTCCACCACCATGCCCAGCTAATTTTTTTAGTAGAGAGGCGGTGTCATCATGTTGTGCAGAGTGGTCTTGAACTCCTGACCTCAAGTGATCCACCTGCTTTGGCCTCCCAAAGTTGAGATTACAGGCATGAGCCACCACACCTTACCCCTGAATAGTAAATATGTTTTCTTAATAACATTTTCTTTTCTCTAATTTACTTTAAGAATATAGTATAAAATATATATAACATACGAAATATGTGTTAATTGACTGTGCTATTGGTAAGGCTTCCATTCAACAGTAGGCTATTAGTAGTTAAGTTTTGGGGGAGTCAAAAGATACATGTGAATTTTTGACTTAGTGGGAGATGGGTGCTCCCAATCCTAGTCCCAAGGGTCAACTGTATATTTCTGTGATATGAATGTAACCGGATGAGGGCATGGTAAATCTTTAAAAATGTAAACCTGTTTCTGATGTGATTATGGTCTTGGGAAATTGATATCTTAATTAGCTCTGAAATCTGCCATAATAATCTCAGAAAAATTGGATTTGAAAAGGTATACAGAAGTGAAGAGATATTCTGGAGACGATAGTAGGAATTACAGTAGTGGAGATAGACCAGGATCTCCCATTCAATGGAGTTTTATATTCTTTGGGGTTATTCTCAGGTCTGGTGTCTTCATAATAATGAATTTCGCCTCTAGAATCATGAAAATAGTCTTCTCTATGGGCTTTGACTAGCCATAGTTCCAACACTAATGACTAACTCTCATCTTTAGAGATTCTGAATTCATCATTCTGGCATGTGGCCTAGACAGCAGTATTCGAAGAAGCTGACATAAAGCCGAGGTTAAGAACAATTGATTTAGATAAAGAAAGACATTCAAAATAAATGATTCAGTGCAAAGTGTTTTTGAAATTCCTTCAGTGTTCCTTGCATTTCATTCAATTCCAACCAGTTAAAATTCTCCCATTACTGTAATTTTACATTTAAAAGCAGCTACATTACCCATAAATGAGGGGGATGGATTTTTCACAGTGATAGAAAACTATTACGGAAGTAATTTTCATGTCGCCGCTGTTGACAGGATGAAGCTACTGCAGCAATACTGCAAGCATCGCTGCAAGGTAATGTTAGAATTCTCTAACATTACCGTGCATGTGAATCACTTGGGGAATTTATTAGAACTGAGATTAGCAGGCCAGGCTCCTACAGATTAGGGTTTCTAGGCCGGGAGAAAGCCAGTGAACTGCTTTGTCCCAGGCACCCCAGGCGATGCTGATGCCAAGGAACCTTGGACCACACTTTGCTAACTCTGAACTGTAGGGGTCTAGACTTGCTGCAGAATGGATCATGGTCTCCCATATGGTGGACTTTTAAAGCCTTGGTAAGAGCAATTTAAGAAATGTGAGATCGTTTGAGCCGGGAAGGTTGAGGCCACAGTGAGCCATGATCATGCCACTGCACTCCAGCCTGGGTGATGTAGTGAGACTCTGTCTCAAAAAAAAAAAAAAGAAAGAAAGAAAGAAATGTGAGAAGGACTTCAGCATGCTTTATTTTATTTTCAGCCAGCAGGCTTATGCATAAGTCCTCACCTGTTCTTAGCAGCCTTCAAATAACTGCCTGAATCTCACTGTCAAGAAAGAATTACTTGAGAGAAAAAAAATTGCATACTTCCAGCTCACCGTTTTGAAAGGGTAGGAGATATAAGAATGAAGGAAGTAATGCACACAAGTATGGTATATGTACATTGATAGAAGAGATACAGAGAAAAAGAAAATAAACTTTTTTTTCTATTTGCCAATGGTAGGCAAGAAGGCAAAATTAAATTTAACTCTGGATATCTTTAGGTGGTACACTATTGGCAGAAATACCCATTCAAAATTGGTTTAAGCAAAAATAAATGTATTGACTCAATTACCTGGAATTGTTTATGGGCAAAGGTAGCCTCAGGCACGATCTGCTTCAGGGTTTAAGTATGTCACTTTGTTCTCTCCCAAGGCCCTCTTTCTCTTTTGGGTTAGCTGTAAGCCAGGCTATATGTGGTGCTCCCAGTAGATCCAGGCTTTCTCCAGATGGTTAAAGCAGCTACAAATGTTAAATTCTCACATCATTAAATCTAGCTGAAGAGAGAGAATACTTGCTTTCTATCTTTCCCAGCAGACTTGCCAATATGTATTACTGGCTGTGTAATATGAACCAATCACTATGGCTAGGGGTATCAGGTTTGCTAATTGGCTTAAAGGCCAGGGATATCCCATCACTGGGGCTGGGAGAGGACTCATCTCCATCTGGAAGCATATGGACTGATGGGGATGGCTGTGATTTTCCAGAGGAAAGTCTGTTTAGCAAACAGCGTGCAACATATGTGGTCTACTGAGGACACAAAGCCTTGACTGTCCACTAGAAATAATGTATGATGAAATTTTTTTCTCATAGCAATGAGTGTGCTTTAGAACATATTGAAACACTTCTGAACACTGAAAGAGCAAGAACTACCACAGATTTTTCCTGCACAAAAGAGGTGAGGACTGAAACCAAGGATTATATACTGAGGACTCAGCACTGTGACTTGGTCTTGACCTCCCTGAGCAAATGTGGAATTAATTTAAATTTAGCAAGAGATAGGATTTATAATAACTAAAGGTTGTCTGTACCTCAAACTCCAGAAAATATAAATTGGCATTTCTGTAGATATTTTGAAACATGAAACGTGCACAAAATAATAAGTTGTTATTGTGTGAAAGGAGTTTATCGAATTTTCACATATTCCCTGCTCCCTCAACCTCCCACCTTCCAAACTTTTTTCAGAAGACAATTAAAAACAGTGTATCTTTTTTATAGGTTTTTTTTTAACCTACTTTCAGCTGTCATGTAGGGTCCTCTGTCTCATCTCTGTCTGCATTGCTTCCCTTTGGTTTTGAAATTTCGCTTTTGCTGATGAACAATACAGTTAGGAGTTACTGTGTTCCATTAATCATTCTAAGAGTGATTTACAGACTTACAGCATATATACTTATGTATACCTATTAATACAAAATAACACAAGATAAAAATAAGTAAACATGATTTAGTGAAATAAAAATAAGTTGAAAAAGTCAAGTCAAGCCAAGTCAAAGGAGAGCTCAATCTATAATATGTGGGCCATGAGAATCACCATAGTTTGTAGAAGTCCATGGATGTGTCTCTGAGGTTTCTAGCAGCCAATACAGAGAAAGATGATGTAATGATTATTTATCTGATTCATAAAATAATTAAGGTCAAGACACAACTTTCCCTGGTACTATGTCCCCAGCAAATTTCCTCCTGTGGGTCTCTGGCAAGAAGACCCTGTGTGATGCAGTGAATGGAGTCCTCAGTTAATCAAGAGTGTGTCCAACATCAAATTTCATAGATTTGTTTCCCACAACGCAATGCATGCAGGTTGATGCCACAGTCTTGAAAAAAAAGTCTATTCAAAGAAGTTCTATGGTGTTCAGTTAGAATGGAGATAATTAAAAAGTCAGGAAACAACAGGTGCTGGAGAGGATGTGGACAAATAGGAACACTTTTACACTGTTGGTGGGATGGTAAACTCGTTCAACCATTGTGGAAGACAGTGTGGCGATTCCTCAAGGATCTAGAAGTAGAAATACCATTTGACCCAGCCATCCCATTACTGGGTGTATACCCAAAGGATTTAAATCATGCTGCTATAAAGACACATGCACACATAGGTTTATTGCTGCAGTATTCACAATAGCAAAGACTTGGAACCAACCCAAATGTCCATCAATGATAGACTGGATTAAGAAAACGTGGCACATATACTCCATGGAATACTATGCAGCCTAAAAAAGGATGAGTTCATGTCCTTTGTAGGGACATGGATGAAGCTGGAAACCATCATTCTCAGCAAACTATCACAAGGACAAAAAACCAAACACCACATGTTCTCACTCATAGGTGGGAACTGAACAATGAGAACACTTGGACACAGGAAGGGGAACATCACACACCGGGGCCTGTCGTGGGGTTGGGGGAAGGGAGAGGGATAGCATTAGGAGATATACCTAATGTAAATGATGAGTTAATGGGTGCAGCACACCAACATGGCACATGTATACATATGTAACAAACCTGCACGTTGTGCACATGTACCCTAGAACTTAAAGTATAATAAAAAAAAAAGAATAAACAAGGCTATTCCCACCCCCCCCCCGCCAAAAAAAAGAAGTTCTGTGGTGTTAAATGGGAAGGACAAGGAGAATGGAGACCAGCTTTCTGATGGTCTGGCTTAATTCTGTAGAAGGTTTAGGTTACTTGGAGAAATGGATGAATTGCATATACTTTAGGCAACATTTGGTAAATAGTGCTTCTCTCCCTGAACTTTTGCTAACATTGAGTAGCAGTGATTTTGAAGTTAGCTATATTGTTAAACTCCTCAAAAGAGTCCTGGAATATTTTGCTTATTACATGTAGTTCTATATACTTTAGAAAATAGCCTAGCTGATGATTGGGTTGATATTTTCTATGAACGTTAAAAAATCTGTTGGAAAGCTCGCTATTTCAGCCTACCTCTGTGATCCAAAATATTCCCTGAAAAATATTTTGGTAGTGAAGCTTCTTTCTATTGATATGAGCTTTTTGAAAAACTTGAAGGCAGTTTTAAAAAAATGCAATTCATAGGCTTTCAATTTAGCTTACAAATCTTACTCTATTTTTAAGTCTAGTAAATTTTATCAGTTATTTTTAAGGGGTTTTTAAATTCAGTTTGGTCATATTTACAGATTTTGCTAAAATGTTTAAACCTTCAAACGTTTAAAATTTTGTTTATAAATTTGACACGTTTAATTTAGTTTTATAGGACATGTATTTCAATTTTCTCAACAACAACAAAATCTTTCTGAGCATTTAAGTCTTATATATTGTAAAATTTCCAATACTAAACTAAACTTAGTAAGATTTTAGTTTAAAATCAGAAGTCTACAATGAGAGTTACAAAACACTGCTCAAAGAAATCAGAGAAGACACAAATGGAAAAGCATCCGATGCTCATAGATAGGAAGAATCAATATCATTAAAATGTCCATACTGCTCAAAGCAATGTACAGATTCAGTGCTATTGCTATCAAACTACCAATAACTTTCTTCAAAGAACTAGAATGGGATAAAATATTTGCAAGCTATACATCTGACAAAGGTCTAATACCCAACATCTATAAGAAACTTATACAAATGTATGAGAAAAAAACAAAGAACCCCATTAAAAAGTGGGCAAAGGACATGAAAAGACACTTTTCAATAGAAGACATACATGCAGGCAACAAGCGTATGAAAAAAGCTCAATATCACTCATCATTAGAGAAATGCAAATCAAAATCATAATGAGATACCATCTCACACCAGTCAGAATGGCTATTACTAAAAAGCCAAAAAATAACTGATGCTAGCGAGGTTGTGGAGAAAAGGAACACTAATGCACTGTTATTGGGAGTGTGAATTACTTCAACCATTGTGGAAAGCAGTATGCCGATTCCTCAAAGAGCTAAAAGCAGAATTACCATTTGAACCAGCAATCTCATAACTGGCTATATACCCCAAGGAATATGAATTATTCTACTATAAAGACACTTGCACATGAACATTCATTTCAGCAATGTTCACAATAGCAAAGTCATGGAGTCAACCTAAATGCCCATCAATGACAGATTGGATAAAGAAAATGTGGTACATACATACCATGGAATACGATGCAGCCATAAAAAAAATGAGATCATGTCTTTTGCAGGAACATGGATGGAGCTGGAGGCCATTATCCTTAGCAAACTAATGCAGGCGCAAAAAACCAAATACTGCACGTTCTGACTTGTAAGTGGGAACTAAATGATGAGAACTCATGGACACAAAGAAGGTAACAACAGACACTGGGATCTACTTGAGGGTGGAGGGTGGGAGGAGCGGGAGGAGCATAAAAGATAACTATTAGGAACTGGGCTTAATACCTAAGCCCAGTATGGTGATGAAATAATCTGTACAACAAACCCCCGTGACATGAATTTACCTATGTAACAAACCTTCACATGTACCCCTGAACCTAAAATAGAAGTTAAAAAAAAACAGAAGTCTATCTCAGTTACTTATTTACATGTTTCAAATTGGAGTTATGAGATTGTCATTCTATTAGGTCACATTCTCTTAAACATTACATCAATATGAAATACTAAATATACACAGAATCCTTCTCAATCTGTAAATATTAAACTGTGGTTTTGACTGTGTAAACCTTTCTATACCTTTTTTCCCTCCAGGCTAAGAGAGTCATACACTTTAAAGAAGACGAATACCATCCTAGTTTACTGAAGTTATTCTGGCTAAAAATTCTATCCAGACATTTGCCTCAAAGCTACCCTCACACTCGCTTTTTCCTCTCAATATTTATTTAAAAAATTTTTA
This sequence comes from Homo sapiens, assembly GCF_000001405.40. Lineage (NCBI taxonomy): Eukaryota > Metazoa > Chordata > Mammalia > Primates > Hominidae > Homo > Homo sapiens. The sequence goes on along the minus strand of NC_000006.12, from coordinate 11,904,428 downwards.
ACTGCAATATTAAAAGACTTGTACAGTGAACACTCATATACACACCACCAAGACTCTACTATTAACATTTTACTATGCAGGCATCCATCCATCCCTCTGTCCTCCAATCAACTCATTATTTTCATGCATTTTAAAGGAAATTGTAGACATAAATGTACTTCCTTCTAAGTATTTCAGCAGACATAATATTAACTAGAGTTCAATATCAATATACATTTTCTTCTTTTGATATAAAATAATCAAATGCATAAGTTTGAAACGTACAGTCACTGAGTTCTGACCAATGGTCACACCTGTATAACCAAAACTATGATTAAGATATAAAACATTACCATCTCCCCTTAGAGTTTCCTCATGTCTCTTCCAAGTCAATTCCTTCCCCCACCCGCAGAGACTGTTTTACCTTTTTTCCACCATAGATTAATTTTGCTATTTCCAGAGCTTGATATTAGTGGAATCAGCCACTGATATTAGTAAAGCCAGCATGTACTGTTTTGTATAAAACATGTTTCATCCAGCATAATGCTTTTGAGACATATCCATGTTGTTGCATGTATCAATAGTTTGTTTCTTTTTATTGATGAGTATGCATATACCCTTGTATGCATATATTACAACTAATCCATTCACCTATGGATCCATCCTGGACCATTTCCAGGTTTCGGTTAGTATGAAACAAGTTGTGAACATTCTCATATAAGTCATTTTGCTGATTACTGAGTCCCTTTTAAATTTTACTGTTAATATGTCATGGGATGCAAAGCTTAAAAAGACATTGTTCTTCTAAGCACATCTTACATAAATATCTCTGAACTCAGAGAAGCCTGCAACTCCTACCCAGAATGAATAGTTTTACATTTTCTTGGCTTTTATTATACATTCATGTATTTTCCTTTTCACTCTAAAGACTTTTTTTTTTTTTTTTTTTGAGACGGAGTCTCGCTCTGTCGCCCAGGCTGGAGTGCAGTGGTGGGATCTCGGCTCACTGCAAGCTCCGCCTCCCGGGTTCACGCCATTCTCCTGCCTCAGCCTCCCAAGTAGCTGGGACTACAGGCGCCCGCCACTACGCCCGGCTAATTTTTTGTATTTTTAGTAGAGACGGGGTTTCACCGTTTTAGCCGGGATGGTCTCGATCTCCTGACCTCGTGATCTGCCCGCCTCGGCCTCCCAAAGTGCTGGGATTACAGGCGTGAGCCACCGCGCCCGGCCCACTCTAAAGACTTTTGATGATAGACTACTAATATAATTAAAGGGTAATTTGTGCCTGACTTAATGGAATCTTGAATTATTTCATATTCTTAGGATAGAACTCATAGGGATAATAAAAAATGGAATCCAATGGTTTTATCTGAGTTGGAGGTCAGACCCAATAATCTATTAATGAAAATAAATATATTTCTAGGAAACAAAATAGTCTAAAGCCTTTGAAAAAGTGAAACTGCTACTTATTTTCACTTGGGGGTGGAAAATTTTTATGTAAAAGATTGCTGTTAATCTGTAAGTATTTGTTTTTCCCTTGTTTCTCAAAATTAGACCTCCTGAGTTTTAGCTGAGCTGGGCCCACCCAAAATAAAAACATTTCTCAGTATTTTATATACCTAGGTGTTTTCACATTATTAAATTCTGGCCAATAGGATAGAAGCTAACTGTTGTAAGTGTATGTGACTTCACTGCAGAGAGGGGAAACCCCAACAGAACCAGCCAGTTATAGTGAGTGGAGGAGGCAGAACTCAGTGTTCCAGAAGGCTGAGGTGACTAGAATTTGTGAGTCCGAGTATCAAGAAGAAGAACTGCACACATGAGCATCTCCAGAGATCTGCAGAGCATTCTGCTAGAGTCTCTCATTGAGTTCCCGCCAACACCTGGGTGGTGTTCAAACTCCATGAGGCCAAGGAAAGAACCACTAGAAAAGAGTAAGCCAAATGCTTCCCAGAGTTCATTCACATTGAGAAAAAATTGCTTTATCACCAGCCAGAAAGTAGAGACCTCATAAGGCAAGGGTTATTTGTTAACGTTCTCAGAGGAGTCCTGTCTTAGTACAATGACTTAATTAGCCCTAGAGTAAAAGCCACTCCATACCTGATCCAAAATTTGCTTATAAAGAACATAAACATATAGAACAGATGGGCAAAAAGTTTTAACAACATGCCACAGCAAAGTCCAGCACTCTTTACAGAAAGAAAACAAAATTCCAAACTCAAAAATGTAAAAATCTAAAATGTCTAACATCTAACCAAAACTTAAGAGGCATGCAATGAACCAAGAAAGTATGACCCATAACAACACAAAAGCCCCAAAACAAATAAACACAATAAAATCAGACCAAGAAATGACAGAATTGATGGAATTAGCAGACAAGAACTTTTTTAAAAGGCCCAAATGGAACTTCTATATGTGTGTGTGTGTATATATATACGTGTGTGTGTGTGTATATATATATGTATATGTGTGTGTATACATATATATATACATATATATACACACACACATATACATATATATATATGTAAAACTTCATCTTAAAACATTCACTGGAAGGAACTAATTAAACTTGTCCTTCTCCTAAAAATAAAAATCAGTGGACTTGAAAACACAGCAAGAGAAACCATCCAAACTCAATCACAGAGAGAAAAAACATTTGAGAAAATTAATAGACACTTAGTGACTTTTGGAAAGATATAAAGCATTCTAACATATGTATATTTGGCGTCTTGGAGGAGCAGGGCCACAGAGGGGAGGATGTCAAAATATTTAAACAAAAAATTGTCAGAAATGTTACAAATTTGATGAAAACTATAAACCTACAGATATAAAAAAGCCCCCAAAACCTTAAGTAGAATAAACATAAAAATAATGACACTAAGAACATGATATGCAATTACTAAAACACAGTGATAGAGAAAAATCATAAAAGCAGGCAGAGAAAAAAGACATTATGTACAGAACAACCAAGATAAGAACGACTGAATTCTCATCAGAAACCACGTAAGCCGGAATACAGTGCACCGACATTTTTAAAGTACTAAAATCACAAACCTATCAAACCAGAAAAAGCAAGTTAGGGTTTTCAGTTTTGCATGTAAGATAAGAAGCTTGGAAGTTGCCAGTCTGCCCTAACAGCATGTTAAAAGCTGAGCATACTGAAACATTAACAACTCTTCTATGATCTGAAAGAGAGGTAAGGACGTTATTCCCACGATTGGAGAGACAGACAGGCAAGTGCAGGGAGTTACCGTCTTCCAGAGCAGAGACTCACCTGTGGAAACCACTGTGGGGACCGGTGCTGGGGCAGGAAAACCTGAGCTCTAATTTACAAATTGCTGGAGAATCAGGGCGAACAAGCCTGAGAGTTAAAAACTCCGGAGCAACCCAGTCTAGAGCGACTACCAAATATTTGTGAGTTTCACCTCTAGGAGCTTGATCAGATTCTCACAGAAAATATCAGAGAAGAATCTCTTCATGCTTTCAGCAGGAGGTGAGCAAAAGGAACCATTTAAAACTACGCCAGAGCAATCTGTTCTTAACAAGGATTACCCTCGGGAGAAACTAGTTAACTATAGCCTCACCTGCTGGGGTATTGTCAGAGTCTAACTGACTTGGGGGAAGGGACATACCCAACTCTGGTCAACTCTAACCTTCCATGTGAAAGAAGGAAAATACCCAATTCCAGTGCACTCCATCCATTCTCTCCCACCTAAAAGGGGAGAGAAAAAAACAAACAAACAGAAAAACTTGAGAAGTTCACAGTTGAGACACAGGTCGAGTGAAAGACTGAAACTTAATCATAAGACTATAGAACACTTTCCCTGTCCCAACACATTAATAAAGCTTATTTACAGCAGTTCCTTTTACCCAGTACATCATGTCTGACTATCAAGAAAAAATTACAATGCATATTAAAAGGTAGAACCCCCCCACCCCAACAATTTGAAGAGACCAAGGAAGCCTCAGAACCAGACCTGGAAGGGATTTTGGAATCATCAGGCCAGACATTTCAAACAATTGTAATTGATACACTAAGGGCTGTAATGGATAAAGTAGATAACATGCAAGAACAGATGGACAATGTGAGCGGAGAAATGGAAATCCCAAGATAAGACCAAAAATAAATGTTAGAGATCAAAAACACTGTAAGAGGAATGAAGAATCCCTTTGATGGGCTTACTAGTAGACTGGACTGGCTGAGGAGAGGATCTCTGAGTTTGAGGACATATCACTGGAAACCACCAAAAGTGAAAAGCAAAGAGAACAAAGATTGCAAGAAACAAAAACAGAATATCCAGGGACTGTGGGACAACTACAAAAGGTGTAACATATATGTAATGAGAATATCAGAAGGAGAAGAAAGGGAAATAAATGGAAGAAATATTGGATACAAAAATGACTGAGAATTTCCCCAAATTAGTGTCAAACACCAAACCGCAGCTTCAGGAAGAGCATAGAATAAGAAGCAGGATAAATGCCAAAAAAACACACTTAGGCATATCATTTTCAAACTATAGAAAAATCAAAGATGAAGAAAAAAATCCTGAAGGAAGCCAGAGGGGAAAAAATACCTTGCCTATAGAGAAAAGAAAATAAGAATTACAGCTGACTTGTCCTCAGAAACCATCCAAGCAAGAAGAGAGTGGAGTATAATATTCAAAGAGTTTAGAGGAAAAAACCCACCAACCTAGAATTTTGTACCCTGTAAGATTCTCCTTCAAAAGTGAAGGAGAATACTTTCTTAGACAAGCAAAAATTAAAGGAATTTGTTGTCAGTAAACCTGCTTTGCAAGAAATGTCTATTTTCTTTCACCACTACACAATATATTCATGTAACAAATGTGCACATGTACCCTGTAAATTTATGCAAATAAAATCTATTTAGGCAACAATATAAAACTTATAATAAGCAAAATACAAAATAACATTATAAGTAAAAAATATTTTATAGAGAAGTTAAACCATACAGGTGAGAAACTCAGATCTACATAAATAAAGACAGAACCAGCACTTTGGGAGGCTGAGGCGGGCAGACCATGAGGTCAGATCAAGACCATCCTGGCTAACGTGGTGAAACCCCGTCTCAACTAAAAATACAAAAAATTAGCCAGGCGTGGTGGCACGCACCTGTAGTCCCAGCTACTTGGGAGACTGAGGCAGGAGAATCGCTTGAACTGGGGAGGTGGAGGTTGCAGTGAGCTGAGATCACGCCACTGCACTCCAGCCTGGGTGACAGAGCGAGACTCCGTCTCACAAAAAAAAAAAAAAAAAAAGAAAGAACATTAAAGATGGAATAAGTCAAGATAAAATGAAAACTTTGATTTTTCTTATTCTTAATGATCTAACAGATAACAGCTTGTTCAAAATAGTAATAGCAATTTATTCAAATATGTATTTGCTTATGTGTGCTTAAATATAAGTGAAATGAATGACAGCAATGATGCAACGGACAACAGGGAGGAATTAGGATTGTTTGGTTAGTATAAGGAACTCACATTTACCACTGTAAAGTGGTATATATACTGTCATTTGAAAGTAGACTTGGATGAATTGTAAATGTACACTGCAAACTCTAAGGCACTTACTAAAAAAAGTAAAATAAAAGAAGTATAACTGATATGCTAAATAAAAGAGAACATAATCATATAAAATGCACAATTAAAACCACAAAAAGCAGCAAAATAATGGAAGATTAAAAAAAGAAACAACAAGGGCTACAAATAGAAAATAGTAATAAATATGGTAGATATTAATCCAATTATATTAATTAGTTTGAACATCAGTGGTCTAAGCATACCACTTAAAAGACAGAGATTGTCAGAGGGGATCAAAAAACTAGACCCCAAATCATGCTGTCTACAGGAAGCCCATATTAAATATTAAGACACATCTAGATGAAAAGTAAATGGATGGAGAAAGATATAATATGCTAACATTAATCAAAAGAAAGCAGGAGTATCTATGTTAATTTCAGATGGAGACAATATAACATAAAAGAAATTATCAGAGATAAGGAAGGGCATTATATAATGATAAAATTATTATATTCTCCAAGGGTTAATTCTCCAAGAAGACATAACAATTCTTCAAATGTATGTGCCTGACAACAGAGCATCAAACTACCTGGAGCAAAATCTGATAGAAGTGCAAGAAGAAATAGTTGAATCCACTATCATAGTTGGAGACTTCAACAACCTTAGATCAGAAATAGGTAGATCCAACAGATAGGAAATCAGTAAGGATATAGTTTAACTCAGTGACACTATTAATCAACTGGATATCATTGATATCTATAAACTAGTTTATCCAACAAAAGCAGAGTACATATTCTTCTCAGGCTCTCAGGAAACATTCACTAAGATAGATCACATTCTGGGCTGTAAATCACACCTTAAAAATCTAAAAGAATAGAAATCATACGATGTCTGCCTTCAGACCACAATGAAATTAAACTAGGCACCAATAACAGAGAGATAACTACAAAATCTTGAAATACATGAAAATTAAATAACACACTTCTAAGTAACACATGGGTCAAAAGAGAAATCTTAAATTTAAAAATATTTTGAACTAAATAAAAATGAAAACACACTTACCAAAACTTGTGGGATCCAGCAAAAGTAGTGCTTACAGAGAAATTTATAACATTGAATGCATGTATTATAAACAAAACATCTAAATCAATAATCTCAGCTTCCATTTTAAGAAACTAGAACAAAAGAGGAAGTTAAGTTCAAGGTAAGAATAAAAGAAATAATAAAAATTACAGCAGAAATCAATAAAATGGAAACCAGAAAATCAATAAAGAAAACCAATGAAACAAAAAACTGGTTATTTGAAAAGATCAATAAAATTAAGGAGCCGTTTGCCAGACTAATTAAAAAAAAAAGAGGGAACACAAATTACTAATATCAGAAAGGAAAGAGAGAATATCACTACTGATCCCAGAGACACTGTAAGGATAATAAGGAATAATAATAAAGAATGCTATTATAACTTTATGCCCACAAATTTGATAACCTAAATGAAATGGACCAGTTCTTTGAAAGACATAATCTACCAAAACTTAGGCAAGAAGAAACAGTCTGAATAGACTTATATCTATTAAAGAAATTAAGTCAATAATAAGTAATACTAACCTCCAAAACAGAAAGTAACAAATCCGAAGAGGTTCACTGGTGAATTCTATCAAAGATTTAAAAAAAGAAATTATATCAATTTTCTATGATCTCTTTCAGAGGACAAGCAAAGGGAACACTTCCTAACTCATTCTACGAGGCCAGTATTATGTTAATATTAAAACCAAACGAAGATATTACAAAAAAAAATACAGACCAATATCTCTAGTGAACATAGATGCAAATATCCTCAACAAAATGTTAGTAAATTACATTGCAATTTATAAAAATAACTATATACCATTACCAAGTGGGATTTATCCCAGATATACAAGGCTGATTCAACATTCGAAAATTGTAATTTATCACATTAACAGGCTTAAGAAGAAAATTCATGTGGACATCAGTGGATACAGAAAAAAACATTTGTCAAAATCCAATACCCATTCATAATAAAAACTTTCAGCAAACTAGATATAGATGGAAACTTCCTCAATATGATTTTAAAAAATCTACAAATAACCCCACAGCTAACATTGTGAGAAACCAGAAATTTGCCTGCTAAAATTAGAAAAAAGGTGAGGAAGTCCTTGCTAATGCAATGAGATGAGGAAAGGAAATAAATGTACACAGATTGAGAAAGAAGAAATAAAAGATTCACAGATGACATAATAGTCTCTAGAAAATCCAAAAGAATAAACAACTACAACAATAACCACCACCGAAAAATTCCAGGAACTAAAAAGCTATTATAGCAAGGTTGCAGGATACAAGATTAATACACAAAAGTCAATCATGTTTTTATACACCGGCCAGGAACAGTGGAATTTGAAATTAAAAACACAATACCATTTACATTAGCAGCCCCCCAAAATAAAAGGCTTGGGTATAAATATAACAAAATATGTGCAAGATCTATAACAAATACAAAACTGATGAATAAAATCAAAGAGGAACTAATGGAGATTACATGTTCATAGAACAGAAGACTCAATATTGTCAAAATTCTCTTTCTTCCCAACTTGATCTATAGATTCAATGCAATCCCAATCAAAATCCCAGCAAGTTATTTTGTGGATATTAACAAACTTGCTCTAACATTTATACAGACAGGTAAAAGACACAGAATAGCTAACACAATACTAAAGGATAAGAACGAAGTTGGAGGAGTGACACTATCCAACTTTAATACTTACTATAAAGCTGCAATAATCAAGACAGTGTGGTATTGGCAAAAAGCAGACAAATAGATCAATGGAAAAAAGATCAGGAATAGACTCACATAAATATAGTTACCTAATCTTTGACAAAGAAATAGAGGCAATATAACAAAGTAGAGATAGTCTTTTCAACAAATGGTACTGAAAAAACTGGACATCCACAGGCAAAGAAAAAAAAAAAAGACACAGGCCTTATACTCTTCATGAAAATCAACTCAAAATGGACAGTATGCCAACGTATAAAACACAAAACTATAAAACTAGACAAGATGGGAGATGAGTTTGAATATAAAGATGACTTTTTAGGTACAGCAGCAATGGCAGAATCCATGAAAGAAATAATTCATAAGCAAGACTCCATTAAAATTAAAAGCTTTTGGCCGGGCGCGGTGGCTCACGCCTGTATTCCCAGTACTTTGGGAGGCCGAGAAGGGTGGATCACGAGGTCAGGAGATCGAGACTATCCTGGCTAACACGGTGAAACCCCGTCTCTACTAAAAATACAAAAAATTAGCCAGGCGTGATGGCGGGCGCCTGTCGTCCCAGCTACTAGGGAGGCTGAGGCAGGAGAATGGCGTGAACCTGGGAGGCGGAGCTTGCAGCAGTGAGCCGAGATGGCGCCACTGCACTCCAGCCTGGGCGACAGAGGGAGACTCCGTCAAAAAGAAAAAAAAATAAAAAGCTTCTTCTCTGCAAAAGACAATATCAAGAGAATGAGAAGATAAGTCACAGAATGGGAGAAAATATTTGAAAAATACATATCTGATAAAGGACTATTATTCAAAGAATACAAAGAACCATAAAACTCAACAATAAGAACACAAACCCAATTAAAAAAATGGGTCAAAGACCTTAACGGATACCTCACCAAAGAAGACAGACAGAAGGCAAATAAGCATATGAAAAGATGCTTTATATCAGATATTATTAGAGAAATGCAAATTAAAACCAAAAATGGGATAATACTGTATACCTATTAGAATGGCAAAATTCTGAAACACTGACAACAACAAATGCTGGTGAAGATGTGGAGCAATAGGAATTCTCATGTATTGCTGGAAGGAATGCAAAATGGTACAGTCATGTTGGAAGATAGTTTAGTGGTTTCTTACAGAACTAAAGAAACTCTTAACATATGACCCAGCAATCATACTCCTTGGTATTTATCCAAAGAAGATTATAACTTATGTCTACACAAAAACCTGCACACAGGTGTTTATAGCAGCTTTATTCGGAATTGCTAAAACTTGGCAGCAATCAAGATATCCTTTAGTAGGTGGGTGGGTGGATAAACTGATACATCCAGACTAGGGAGCATCATTCAGTACTAAAAAGAATAAGCTACGAAGCCAGAAAAGACATGGAGGAAACTTAAATACATATTACTGACTGAAAGAGGCCAATCTGAAAGGCTACATACTGTGATTTAAACTATATGATATTCTGGAAATGGCAAAGCTATGCAGAAAGTAAAAGTATCAGTGACTGCCAGGTGCTTAGTGGAGGAAATACATAGGTGGGGCACACAGGATTTTAAGGCAGTGAAACTATTCTGGATAATACTGTAATGGTGCATACATGTCACTGTACATTTGCTCAAATCCTTACCATGCAGGACACCAAAAGTGACCCTAAAGTAAGCCATGAGAGCTACCTCCCCCATTCAGTATCCCACTTGTAAATCAGGAGTGCTACTCTAAGATAAGGGTGCCATTGTCTCTACCTCTAGCACGAGAGCTGTGGTGCAGAGGTTTCATTCAGGGGATGGGGAGGCCTAAGAACAGACATGGGGAGGTTCAAACCTAAGGGTGATGTTTAAATTAATGGTGATTTTGGTGGTAATCAATTAAGAGGAGAGCTTCATGATAGCAACAAGCTAAACTGAAGACCAGCTAGAAGTTTAACAGAGAGAACCAGGGAAAGAAACAGCTAAGAAGAGCCCTTCTGGGGTCGGAAAAAAATCTCACTGCCTAGCCTCAAAGACTATTTCTGCAAAGGGGCCTGAATCAGACTGTGGAGAAGTGTATGATGCATGATTTTATGGAATACAATAGAGAAATCAGCTGGATACTGGAGGAGGTTAACTGCCATTGTAATACTAATAGAGGCAGAGGAGCTAGAAGCTTAACAGAGAGATCATGGGAAGGAGACATTCAAATATAATTCTGGTAAAACCACTGTCCTCCCAAGGTAATCATATGCATACTCAAGTCTGTGTCCTCTGAGGAGAAATATCAGAGGCTACACGCTACAAGGTAAATGTATTTTACTGACATTGCCCAATAAAATCACTAAATGAATAAACAAGCAAACAAAGCAACAATACTTCTGGGAGAAGGACAATATCAAGTGTCACCACAGTGTATTATCTAAAATGTCCAGTTTTCAAAAAAAAAATTATAAGACATACAAAGAAATGGGAAAAGTACAACCTGTACAGGGTTAGGGTGGGGGAGAAAAAAATAATGTTTTATGAGAAAGTCCAGATGTCAATGATTTCAAAGCAGGTATTATAGATATGTTAAAAAACTAAAGAAAACAATACTTAAAGAAGTAAAAGAAGATATGATGACAATATCATCATGTGGAGAATAAAAATAAGAGATAGAAATTATTAAAAAGGACAATGGAAATTTGAAGTTGAAATGTGTGATAGCTGAAATGAAAAATAATCTCTTAATAATTAATGACAGCAAGAACAAGAGAAGAAGGAATAGAGTTTTATAGAAGTAACATTTCTACATTTCACTGGAATTAAGCTAGGAGAAATCTAAAGTAAATTCTGATAAATTAAAATGTATATTGCAATCCTAGAGCAACCATTAAGAAAATAACTAAAAACTATAGTGAAAAATCATTAAAGGAATTAGTTAAAATGTTACACTAGAAAATACTCACTTAATGAAATAGAAAGCAGTAAGAGAGGAACAAAATGGGAAAAGATAAGTAATAGAAAAAAGAGAAAGTAAAATGGCAGATGTAAATACAACAAAAGGTAAATATAAATAATGACATTAAATGTGAATGGATTAAACAATCCAATCAAATGAAGAGATTGTCAGATTGAATTGAAAAATAACAAGATTCAACTATATTCAATACACAGGAGACATATATTCAATTCAAAGATAAAAATAGGTTGAAAGTATCACTCAAACAGCAACCATAAGAGAGCTGGAGCGAATGTGCTATCAGATAAAGTAGACTTGAAAACAAAAACAGATGCTCCTTGACTCATGATGGGGTTATAAACTAATAAACCCATTGTAAGTTGAAAATATTGTGGAGTTGGCTTATGACATTTTCAACTTATGATCAGTTTATCCAGACATAACTCCATTGTAAGTTAAGAAATGTACTCAATGTGTATTGCTTTGGCACCATTGTAAAGCTGAAAAATTAAGTTAAACTTCATAACTTGGGGACTATCTGTAATATTACTAGAGATAACAGAGCTTTTTATCTGATAAAAGGGTCAATCTATCACATTATATTATAAAGATATAACAATTATAAACATATATGCACCTAACAGCAGAGCCCCAAAATATATAAAACAAAAACTGACAGAATTGGAAGGGAGAAATAGACAATCTAACAAAATAATTGGAGATTTTAATACCCCACTCAACAAGAGCATAATGTAAATTCCTCAGAAGCACACATGGAACATTTTCCAGGATATATATACCATTGCTTGTGAAAATGTAAAGTGGTGCAGCCATTTTGGAACACAGCCTATAAGTCCCTCAAAAGGTTAAATATAGGGTTATCAAATTACCATATGACTTAAGAATTCTGCTCCTAGGCATAGATGCAAGAGAAATGAAAACACATGTTTATATAAAACTTACACACAAATATCTATAGCTTTATTTATAATAACTAAAAAGTGAAAACAACCCAAATGTTCATGAATTGATAAATGGACAAGTCACATGTGCTATATCTGTATGATGAAATATTATTTGGCAAAAACATTTAAAGTAATCATATATGTTACAACATGAAAGCCTTGAAAATGTTATGCTAAGTAAACTAAGACAGTCACAAAAGATCCTAGGCTATATTATTCTATTTATATAAAATATTCAGAATAGGCAAATCTATAGACATTGAAAGTAGATTAGTCATTGCCCAGGTCTGGGTAAGTTGGGAGAAAATGGAGAGTGACAGCTAATGGGTACAGGGTTTCTTTTGGGGGTGATGAAAATGTTCTAAAATTGACTGTGGTAATGGCTGCTCAATTTTGTTAATGCACTAAAAAACATTAAACTGTACACTTAATATGAGTGAATTAGATGATATGAGAGTTATATCTCAATAAGATTGTGAAGAAATATTTCAAGGACCTCATTCTCCTTGCTCAGTCATTTTACTAGGTATTGGGTAATAAGGTGTAACTAGAAATTTCTTGTTAAATAAAAAGGTAAAACTTTAGATGAAAGGACTTTTGCCTCTGTGTTTTCTTTCCACCTTCAATTTTTATGTGATACCTGAAGCTTCAGTGGTCATCTTTCAGCCCTGAGGCAAGAAAAATGGGTATGAAAGCCAACCCACTAAGGATAGTGGAGAGAAAATGTGGAAAGAACTTCGCACTTGGTGGCATTAATGAGCAACTGAGCCAATGCTGACAATTGTCTTCATCATATATCTTGTTACATGAGCCAATTTTGAGGCTGGTTCTTCTGTTAGTTGAAGGCAAATGCATTCCTAACTTATAAGAGAAGAAAAGGTAAAAGGTTTATTTAAAGAAATAGGCAAAGAGATAACTTCTTGAAAACTTATCGTTGGTTATGCAAGAAGGAAGCGATTTCCTCAATATCTACCTCATACCAGGCATATATGTCTATTTTGCTATATTTAATCTTCCCAACAATATTATGAGGCAGTTATGATTCTTTGCCATTTATAGATGAGAAAACTACGGCTTGATAGGATAAATAACTTGTAGAAAATCATGGCAAGGAGCAGAGAGGGATTTGAGCATTGGCTTGTCTGACTCTAATGTCTATGTTATTTATACTGTCTCATGTTACTCCTTTGTGCAATTGCCATGGCTTTGTTTTGATTATACAAAAATGTCTCATCATGGTCATGTTCACCTCTGAAAACTTATGAGCTTTTCTATGAGGGCTTTTGTTTTTTGCCCTTTTTTAGAAAGCACTCCCCAAATTTTTGCCTCATTTCTAATCAATGCCTTAGCTGGGTCTTCTTATATAAACTGGTAATTTAGTACCCTAGCAACCAGTTCTACCACAGGATTAAATATAAAATTGCTTTAGTTACAGAACTTAAAGTACAAAAATATTGGCTTACACCAGAAATTGTTTTCTCAAGGTTCGACATCTCTTCTAGAAGAAATTATCTCCAATTAAGATTTAAACAGACAATGTTCCTTTTTAAACTTAACAATCTTAACTCTTGAGGCCAGTTTTATTTTACCTTATATGAAGACAATCTTTTTTGTTAGAAGGAAGATAAGTTCATCATAAAAAACTTTGAAACTACAAGAGAGTAGGCTAAGGAAAAATATCCACTCATTTCTACCTCTAACAAATAATATTTTGAGGTATTTCCTTCTAGTGTTCTTGCTATTTATTACATGCCTAGATTTGCATAACTGTGATCTTACAATTTCTTTATATTTATCCAATTTTGTATTACACATTTTAAATGAATTGTATCATCAGCATTTTTAATATATGGGATGTTTTTATAAGTTATGCCTTCCTTCACTCTCCTTCACTTTCTTCTTTTAAGCTATCAAAGCACTTCCAAAATATTTGAGAATAATAGGTAGTCACCAAAAAGTGAATTAAATAGAAGTAATGTTGTGATAAATGGAGACTGTGTACATGCATATTTATAAATACAGTATTTACCTATTGACTACACCACACACATTCTCCTTTCCACAGCTTAGATGTTTTAAGTTGTGTTTTTGTGTTAAATTGCTTTGTATATGTTATAAAGGAAAAATAAAATGTAAAAAATAAACATAAAAATGGAGAATTAGTGGAGAGTGATTTTCTCTGCAATAATTTTTGATGTTCTTCACCACAATTAGACACCAGAAAAGTTACAGAAAAATGGGTGAGATTATTTTACCTATTCCTAGAATGGCATAGAAAGGATAATAGAAAATTAGCCATAAAATATTCCTCCTTGAGGCTATGAATCTTTCTCCATTACCCCAGAGCACTTAGATCATAATTCGGTCATGGTGCATGATGTTATGAATAATGAACATTATGATTTCCTAACTGGTGTGTCATACGTTGTAAAAATCTTTAGAATTTTTTGCAGATGGAGATGTTTATAAGAAAACTGGAAAGAGAATTGAAATGAATTATGTATGCTTGTATGTGTGTGTGCACACGCCCATGGGCATTCTTGCACTAATTGATTTGAATGCTATGTGTGTAGCAATTGGTGACTGAATTCTTTCTTGCCTTTGGCATTAACATGTAGGCCATAACCCACAGATGAATATTAATCACATTCTATAATTATCCTTTCAGTTATAAACATATAAATATAAATATATAAACCAGTGCCTATATCTAGATATAGGTTTGTGTATATTTAAAGAGATAATTATACGTATAATTATATATGTATTATGTAATATGTGTTACATATAATCAGTGCTATTTCAATTATACTGCTCTGACTTTTAAAAGTTAGTCATTGCTACCCTGTCAGAGAATAAAACTAATTAACTTTCAGAAATTTGGGAATAGAAATGAGCTTGGCTTACTCATGAACAGGAAAATATTTGGTCTGGCTTGAGCAAAGGTTACTTGACGAGAATATAAAAAGTCAAGTTGAATAGATTGGGTGAAGTGCTAAATTATAAAATAATGAAAAAAATTAAACTGTGGAGTTTGTTTTTTTTTTTGGCCTCTTCTCCTATCTTTGTAGTTATAATTGCAAAATAATCTCCCAAATATCTGTAAGTTCTGAACAGGTAAGAGGACCTGAGCTCCCATGAAGGTAAAGGAAAGATAATAGAATAACTTGTGTTTGCCCAGAGTGGACCACTTTGCAGAGAACTTCCATCATATTATTAAACTTAAGTTGCCCACGTTCCTTGTCAGAATTCCAAACAAAAAGAGCTAAACAATGGGATACTGGACATCAGAGAAAAGGAAGGAATGTTTTAGTGTCAAACCGCAACCTCAGCTCTTTTCCACCTTCTTCCATGGGCTTATTGCTGTGTCCTGTGAAGGCAACTCACTAGGGTCTGTTTCTGGTCGGTATTCCGTAGTTTAGCTTCAGCTTTCTCTTTCCATCTTCCACCTATCAATCTTTTCTCTCAGAACTCTGTACCTGCTTCCACTTTCCAAGTCGGCTAACTAGTTGATGAAATTCACAAATCTGCATTGAATTTTTTTTTTTTTTTTTTTTTTTTTTTGATACGGAATCTCGCTCTGTTGCCCAGACTGGAGTGCAGTAGCACGATCTCAGCTCACTGCAACCTCTGCCTCTCAGGTTCCAGCAATTCTCCTGCCTCAGCCTCCCGAGTGGCTGGGATTACAGGCACCCACCAACATGCCCGGCTAATTTTTGTATTTTTAGTAGAGACGTGGTTTCGCCATGTTGGCCAGGCTGGTCTCGAACTCCTGACCTCCGGTGATCCGCCTGCCTTGGCCTCCCAAAGGGCTGAGATTATAGGCATTAGCCACTGTGCCCAGCCTGCATTGATTTCTTAAGATGATCTATGATGGCTAGCTTGTCTTCTCTCAGCATCTAAACTTCAAATCACATTTAACCCCTTTGTCTCTCTCATTATTTTTCATCTTTGGTTACTCATCAAGTCTTTTTTTACTTCCCTTCAGATTTTCTCTTTTATCCACAGATTATTTAGAAGTTTGTTGCTTAATTTTTTGGTGTTAGGAGATTGTTTTGGTCTTCCTATTATTCATTTTTGGTTGATTCCCTTGTGGTTAGAGAACACAGCTGTGAATAATTTCATGTTTTTATTGTCTTCTATTTATCCCATTGGCAAGGGAGAAATTTCTACTCTATGGTTCTTGGGATGGCCAAACTTAAGACACTCAGTGCTGTACAGATGAGCTTGACAGCAGTTTATCAGTTACATATACCCGTAGCCTGCAATGGGAGGGCACTGCGCACCATCCAGGGCTATATAGGTGTTGCACTTGGGAAAAGAGTGTACAACTGGGGGTTGTGTGAGGTTGGCTTTGCAGTATTAAGAGGATGGGGAATCCCCTGATTTCCACAGGCGTATGTTATTGGCATGTTTGAGTAATTCCATAGCTGCAAGGGTAACTTGCTACTCAGAGATGTGCAGGAACTGCACCTGTTCCTCTTCATAGGAGGGTTGCTTGGCTAAGGGGACCTTATCCACAATAGCTGAGTGGGGAGGGGAACTTGTGATTAGGCCAGATGAGGCTCTCTCAATTTTACCAGCTATCAAGGCAGCACACAATATCAAGCCTTTATTTTAGGTCTTACACTACATCTCAATTGTTTTCAATTTTGGGGAATTTGTTTAATGGCTCAGGATGTGGTCTATCTTGGTCTATGTCCTGTGGGCACTTATATTCTGCTGCTGCTAGGTGAAGTGTTCTATAGATGCCAATTAGATTTTGTTAGTCGATGGTGATGAGTTCTTCAATATCCATGCTGCTTTCCTATCTAATCATTCTATTAATTTTTGAGATAAGGGTGCTAAGATCTTATAATGGTGGATTTATCTCTTTCTCCATTAAATTCTATCAGTTTTGGCTTTACATATTTTGCAGCTCTGTTATTTGATGTCTACGCATATAAGATTGTTATATCTTCTTGGTTAATTGAAACTTTTATTATTATAAATGTCCCTTTATGTTTCTGGTAATTTTCTTTACAGTCTACTTTATCTGACACTAATATAGCCACTCCTGCTTTCTTCTGATTAGCGTTTGCATGATTTTTTTTATCCTTTTTCTTTTAATATGATTGTATTATTACATTTAAAGTGATATTCTTACAAAAAGCATATAGTTGGGTCATGTTTTAAAATTCATTCTGCCAGTCTCTGTTGTTTAATTGGAAGGTTTAGATCTTTTAAATTTAATGTAATTATTGTTATGTTAGTTGGCCATCTTAGTTTTTGTTTTCTATCTGTTCCAGTTTTCATTTGTTTACTTGTTCCTGTCTTCCTGTGGGTTATTTGAACATTCTTTAGAATTCAATTTTGATTTATTTATAGTGTTCATGAATATATCTCTTTGTAAATATTTTTAGGGTTTACTCAAGGTATAACATTCTATACACATATGTTATCATAGTTTACTGGTATCACCATTTTGCAGTTCAAGTGAAGTATAAGAACCTTACTTTCTTTTATGTCCCTTTACCCTCCCCCATTGTAACACAATTATCTTAAATATTTTCTTTACGTATATTTTTGGCAAATATGACAGCAAACACTGTCATATTTTTTCTTTCAACCTCAAACATGATTTAGAGGATTCAAGAGAAGAAGAAAAATACATTGTATTTGCCTATATTTTTTCTTATGTTCTTTTTACATTCCTGACATTGCATGATTGTTTTATGTTGTTCCCTCTCTATTTAAGGAGCTTCTTTTAGATATTCTTTTTGAATAGGTCTGTTGGTAACAAATTCACTTAGCTTTTCTTCAGCTGAGAATGTCTTGATTTCCTCTTCATTCCTTAAAGATATTTTTACTGGACATAGGATTCTGGGCTGATGATTCTTTACTTTCACCACTTGAAAAATGTGCCAATTCTTTCTGGCCTCCTCAGTTTATGTTGAGAAACCCATTATTATTCAAATTGTTCTCCTCCTGTAAGTAAGGAGTTGTTTCTCTCCCAGTGCTTCCAACATTTTTTCTTTGTCTTTAGTTTTCAGAAGTTTGACTCCATACCTGAGTGTGGATTACTTTGGGTTTATCTTGTTTAGGTTTTGCTCAGCTCCTTGAGCTGTAGGTTTATGTCTTTGATCAAAGTTGAAAGTTTTCAGCCATTATTTCTTTGAGTATTTTTCAGTCTCAACCTCTTTTCTCTTCTCTTTCTAGGACTCTAATGACACAAATGTTAGCTTTCTTGTAATAGTCCCATGTGTCCCTGAAGCTCTGTTCATTTTTCATTTTTTTTAGTCTATTTTGACTCTGTTGATACCATTGAGTAATTTCTATTCTATCTTTCTGAATCTTTTCTCTGTTCCCTCCATTCTTTTGTTAAGTTCATCTACAGCATTAAAAAAATTTCAGTTATTGTATATTCAGTCCTAAAATTTCCATTTGGTTCTACTTTATATTTCGTATTTCTTTGCTAAGACTTTATTTTTAAATTTTTTTTCAGCATGTTCTTAGTTGTGTGTTGAAGGATTTTTTATGATGGCTACTTTAAAATTTTTGTCAAACAATTCTAATATCCCATTCATTTCAGTGTTGGCATCTATTACTTGTATTTTTTAATGCAGTATGAGACCTTCCTGTTTCTTGGTATGAGTGATTTAGATTGAAACTTGACATATTGAGTCTTATGTTATGAAACTGTAAATCTTATTGAACTTTGTATTTTGGTGGTCTTTTTCCGCTACCACTTTGGGAGGAGATGAGAGATAAACCCTTGTTTCTGCAGGTGGGAACAGAAATTCAGGCTCACCACTCTGCCTCTATTGACACCTGGGGAGAAAGGTCCTTATTGCTGTCATGGTGATAGGAGTTCTGGCTTCCCCTAGGCCTCCAGACATAACTCTTTGATATACTGGCTGGGAGGCATAGGAGTGCCTCAATGCCACTCACCATGTGATCCCTACTGACACCATGGTGGAGGGTTGGCTCATTACTACTGGTGGTAGTGAAATTCTCAACTCTTCACAAGGCCTCTCAGACACCACCTCATCAGGAAGGATATGTGCCTGGACTTCCACCCCCTTAACTGGGGTGGAAGTCTAGGCTCCTACATGGTCTACACTGACACCTCAAAGGGGACACTCATTACTGCTCATTGGGAATGGAAGTCTGGGCTCCCTACTCAGCCTGGCAAAGAGATTGGGGAGCCTTTCTACAGTTTGATAAGGATGGAAGTCTAGGTTCTCAATTTAGCCTTTGCTGGTGTAAGTGGGAATGTGGCCACAGGGTCTTTTTACCCCACTGTGGTGCTTGGCTACAATGAAGTGTTTACTCTTCTAAAAATTTTGCATTTTGCTAGACTGTTCCATTTCCATTTCTGATCCTTTGGCTCAACAGAGAGGGATTTTGTTGGGCTTTGCTTGGTCTGTGTTTGTGGACATTACAAGATTATTGGCTTTTTGGTACCTGATTTGGGATATATGGGGAAAATAGAAAACCTAGAGAACTCTCTGTCATGTCATTTTTTAGGTTCTGAGGTTCCTAGCTAGTATGCCTTCTTTCCACCTTTCAGAGACTTCTCATGTTTGTTTCATATATAATGCCCGGGGTTGGGGAGCAATTTAGTTGTTCTTAGTGGAAGGTATAGAAAAAAAATTTTCTACTCCATCTTTCTGTAAGTAGAGATGTCCCCATTAAGTTGTTTTGATTCTACCACCTAATTACAAAATATTATTGATTTTCATAAGTGTTGGGTTATCATATAAGAATTCCCCAATTCTTGAATACATAAGAATTATAAATGCAGCATATTATAAAATATATTTCAATTATTTTATAGTATCATGTCTTATATACACAAAATATTATAAATATATATTATTATGCATTACATATACATAAAGTGCTAATAATACAAAATATACTATTTTGGAAGCCATTGAAAGGTGCTGTTCAGGTCTTTCCCATGATGAGCATAGTGTTTGATGGCCCCAGCTGTCACCCTCTCGATTCACCACTACATACACTCCAAGGCCATGCTTCCCACAGGCTGCCCCCAGCACAGTGGGGATACTAATTGTTTTAGTCTGTTGTCACACTGCTGTAAAGGACTGCTAGAGACTGGGTAATTTATAAAGAAAAGAGTTTTGACTCACAGTTTTGTATGGCTAGGGAAGCCTCAGGAAACTTAAAATCATGGCAGAAGGGGAAGCAGACATGTCTTTTTTTAAAATTATGTTTTATAAATTTATTGTTTTAATTATACTTTAAGTTCTAGCGTACATGTGCACAACGTGCAGGTTTGTTACATAGGTATACATGTGCCGTGTTGGTGTGCTGCACCCATTAACTCATCATTTACATTAGGTATTTCTCCTAATGCTATCCCTCCCCCCTCCCCCCACCCCATGACAGGCCCCAGTGTGTAATGTTCCCCACCCTGTGTCCAAGTGTTCTCATTGTTCAATTCCCACCTATGAAGGAGAACATGTGGTGTTTGGTTTTCTGTCCTTGTGATAATTTGCCCAGAATGATGGTTTCCAGCTTCATCCATGTCCCTGCAAAGGACATGAACTCATCCTTTTTTATGGCTGCATAGTATTCCATGGTGTATATGTGGCGCATTTTCTTAATCCAGTCTATCATTGATAGACATTTGGGTTGGTTCCAAGTCTTTGCTATTGTGAATAGTGCCACAAAAAACATACGTGTGTATGTGTCTTTATAGCAGTATGATTTATAATCCTTTGGGTATATACCCAGTAATGGGATCACTGGGTCAAATGGTATTTCTAGTTCTAGATCCTTGAGGAATCACCACACTGTCTTCCACAATGGTTGAACTAGTCTACACTCCCACCAACAGTGTAAAAGTGTTCCGATTTCTCCACATCCTCTCCAGCACCTGTCGTTTCCTGACTTTTTAATGATTGCCATTCTAACTGGTGTGAGATGGTATCTCATTGTGGTTTTGATTTGCATTTCTCTGATGGCCAGTGATGATGAGCATTTTTTCATGTGTCTGTTGGCTGCATAAATGTCTTCTTTTGAGAAGTGTCTGTTCATATCCTTTGTCCACTTTTTGATGGGGTTGTTTGTTTTTTTCTTGTAAATTTGTTTGAGTTCTTTGTAGATTCTGGATATTAGCCCTTTGTCAGATGGGTAGATTGCAAAAATTTTCTCCCATTTTGTAGGTTGCCTATTCACTCTGATGGTAGTTTCTTTTGCTGTGCAGAAGCTCTTTAGTTTAATTAGATCACATTTGTCTATTTTGGTTTCTGTTGCCATTGCTTTTGGTGTTTTAGTCATGAAGCCCTTGCCCATGCCTATGTCCTTCGTGGTATTGCCTAGGTTTTCTTCTAGGATTTTTATGGTTTTTAGGTCTAACATTTAAGTCTTTAATCCATCTTGAATTAATTTTTGTATAAGGTGTAAGGAAGGGATCCAGTTTCAGCTTTCTACATATGGCTAGCCAGTTTTCCCAGCACCATTTATTAAATAAGGAATCCTTTCCCCATTTCTTGTTTTTGTCAGGTTTGTCAAAGATCAGATGGTTGTAGATGTGTGGTATTATTTCTGAGGGCTCTGTTCTATTCCATTGGTCTATATATCTGTTTTGGTACGAGTACCATGCTGTTTTGGTTACTGTAGCCTTGTCGTATAGTTTGAAGTCAGGTAGCATGATGCCTCCAGCATTGTTCTTTTGGCTTAGGATTGTCTTGGCAATGCAGGCTCTTTTTTGGTTCCATATGAACTTTAAAGTAGTTTTTTCCAATTCTGTGAAGAAAGTCATTGGTAGTTTGATGGGGATGGCATTGAATGTATAAATTACCTTAGGCAGCATGGCCCTTTTCACGATATTGATTCTTCCTATCCCTGAGCATGGAATATTCTTCCATTTGTTTGTATCCTCTTTTATTTCACTGAGCAGTGGTTTGTAGTTCTCCTTGAAGAGGTCCTTCACATCCCTTGTAAGTTGGATTCCTAGGTATTTTATTCTCTTTGAAGCAGTTGTGAATGGAAGTTCACTCATGATTTGGCTCTCTGTCTGTTATTGGTGTATAAGCATGCTTGCCATTTTTGCACATTAATTTTGTATCCTGAGACTTTGCTGAAGTTGCTTATCAGCTTAGGGAGATTTTGGGCTGAGACAATGGGGTTTTCTAAATATGCAATCATGTCATCTGCAGACAGAGACAATTTGACTTCCTCTCTTCCTATTTGAATTCCCTTTATTTCCTTCTCTTGCCTGATTGCCCTGGCCAGAACTTCCAACACTATGTTGAATAGGAGTGGTGAGAGAGGGCATCCCTGTCTTGTGCCGGTTTTCAAAGGGAATACTTCCAGTTTTTGCCCATTCAGTATGATATTGGTTGTGGGTTTGTCATAAATAGCTCTTATTATTTTGAGATACGTCCCATCAATACCTAGTTTATTGAGAGTTTTTAGCATGAAGGGCTGTTGAATTTTGTCAAAGTCCTTTTCTGTATCTATTGAGATAGTCATGTGGTTTTTGTGATTGGTTCTGTTTATGTGACGGATTATGTTTATTGATTTGCATATGTTGAAGCAGCCTTGCATCCCAGGGATGAAGCCAACTTGATCGCAGGTGTGTCTTACATGACGACAGGAGAGAGATCGCGAGCAAAAGCAGGGGAAACTGCCTTATAAAACCATCAGATCTTGTGAAAACTCACTCACTATCACAAGAACAGCATGGGGGAAACCCCCATGATCCAAGGACCTCCCATCAGGTCTCTCCCTTGACATGTGGAGATTATGGGGATTATAACTCAAGATGAGATTTGGGTAGGGACACACAGCCAAACCATGAAATGAATGCAGGCCATCCCTGAGATACTCAGGACTCCTCTGCTTGGTGACTTTGACTTAAAGACTTCAAATGAGCCTGGCAAACTGTTCATGGAATTTTCTTGACACTTTCTTGGAACATTCCAAGACTCTTCCTACTCAGTGGATGTCCATCCCCCTCCTCTCCTTCACAGGTGTCATGTCTGCTCCATGGTCCGAAGGCTCTGCCTGCCTCCTCTGCTGCTCTTCTCCCTTTCTTCTTCATAGATTTGTACCTCATGCAAATCTAATATCACCTTGGCATCTACTTTTCAGAGGATCTGAGCTGGCACAGTTGGCTGGTGACACAACCACCAAGTACTTTACACATCTAGACCTAGTTATAGGAATGGATATATTAAATAGATGGACCTGTAGATATATAATACATCATACTATATAATATGTAGCACTATGTGCACAAACACATGCATTGTGCAGGATGATTTGATCATCACAGAGTATCATTGATATGAAAATTCTGGTGGGGACAGGAACAATGTGGCTCACCAGTAGCCAAGTAACTATCTCCCATGTATCAATCCACAGTAGGGTTCAAATTCACGCCTTTTTAATACTACAAATTCTAATGTCATCAACCTTCACAGCTAGTCATAAATTTTTGAAAGAACAAAACTCTACATAGCCTTGTAGATGGAATGTTCTCCAAATGCAGACACATACTATATTTGCATAGTCCAATGAGGTTGCCACTAGCTAAGTGTGGCTATTGAATCCTTGAAATATGACTAGTGTGACTATGGAAATTTTATGCTATTAATATGTTTAATATTATTTAATTTTAATTATTTAAAATTTAAATTTTAAATTTAAGTAGGCACATGTGGTTAGGAGCTACCATAATGAACAGTGTGGGCTATAGTATGTCACAAATCCTTACCTTAGTTCCTATTCCAATAATTACTACCTGATATGGTTTGGCTCTGTGTCCCCAACCAAATCTCATCTTATAGCTCCCGTAATTCCCACGTGTTGTGGCAGGGACACAATGGGAGATGGTTGAATCATGGGAGTGGGTCTTTCCCATGCTGTTCTCATGATAGTGAATAAGTTTCATGAGATCTGATAGTTTTAAAAATGGGAGTTTCCCTGCACAACCTCTCTCTTTGCCTGCCGCCATCCATGTAAGATGTGACTTGCTCCTCCTTGCCTTCCGTCATGATTGTGAGGCCTCCCCAGCCATGTGGAACTGTGAGTCCAATTAAACCCCTTTCTTTTGTAAAGTGCCCAGTCTTGGGTATGTATTATCAGCAGCATAAAAACAGACTAATACACTACCTGAGACCAGGCCTTCATCCTCACATGCCTGGACTCTTACAATAGCTTTCCAAATCTTCTCCATGTTTCACCTCTCCTAACCCCTAGTTAGCCTCTAAGTTGCCACTATGGTGATTTTTCTAAAATACAATATCAGGTCACTTCCCAGCTAAAAAGACCTCCCAGAGGTGAGACTGTGGCTGACTCAATTGATGCATTCTCTTCCTTTCCCTTATACCTGGCCCCATACCTACTTGGTGGCTTAATAAATGTCTAGTGGGAGAAAAATGAACATATTTCAACTGTAGGATATTCTAGAATAGTTTGTCTTAAGTTACCCTAATTTGAGGAATTAGGCCTCCTAAATTAGGAAGACAATGAGGGCATATTTTTGGGAGGTGACATAAACATGTATAATCTTTATAAGACTTACTGCATTCTAATGGGTAGGCCTTGTTCCCAAGCATCCCCTGGCTATTATCAATGCAATGGGCAGGAGAAAAAGCGCATTTCTGGACCTCTTCCAAAGTGACCCTCTGTGAGACAGCCACCCTGGCTCAATATGACGGAAATAAGTTTCTCAAGAAGGGAAAATCTTATTTGTGAAACATTAGACACCGTTTTCAGTCCAATGAATCACTTCATTATTTCACTAATAAATCCATTGCTTTCCTTAGTAAAGCCTCTCCTTAGCAAGGCGAAACATGAGTAAAAGGAATATGATCAATAGCAAAGCTTATTTAAGTTTGATCCTTGTCATAAAAAACATTTTGAGTATTAGCAGTGTTTTCTGTTTCTAAGGGACAAGTGCATGCACACACACACACACACATACACACACACACCCTTGAGTGTATGTTTGAATACATGAAATCCCCAGATGTGCACAAGAATTTTCCTCTTCTCCTCCCCCCAAAATGTACTTCTGTTTTCATCCCATTAGTGGGTCTTCCCACAGAAAACACTGCCCCCTCCCATTGCAGTCTTCTCAATGGGGGATGCAGTTGGTTTCTCTGCTCAGTGAACTTTCCTTTTTTCAGGGAAGAAGATTTAATTGCAGGGTTTCACATTAAAAAATAATGTTTAGACTGGGAGGGATCAGCCACATTCAAGGAATGTGGTTTGCTCAGAAATGAGTGGCGCAAATCCCCTGCTTTTTGCCGGCAGGGAACTCAGGAAGAAACTCTTTGGCTGTTGTTGAAATAATCCATATTTGATTACATTTCTTTCAAACAAGTGCTTGATTCACTTGGAACCCAGTTGTTAGGCTTGATGCATGGTCAAAAAAATCTACAACTGCATATGTTGGTCATATGCATGTGATTGGAAAATCCCATAATTCATTTGCTGTAAAGGCAGGCTCCTAAATATTTTTTGCATACCGCAATAACATTTAATTATTTTGCAGCTTGCAATTATGACTCTGACTGTTCTAAATCCTTTGCCTTGCTTTATCATTAGTGACAAAGTTGTACTGTTTTAATTCAGCTCAGGCATGAAAGATGATTTTATTATATGCTTGTCCCTTCCTTGACCAGAGGCTAAAAAAGTCACTTGTCTGATTAAGCCAGCTACAAACTGCAGGAAGTAAGATATCACCTGGAGTAGCCTGTTTATTGGGAATACACTAAAATAAAGTGGTAGGAAACAGCTCTCCCTGCAATTATACATCAAGCTCTAATTTTCCATTCTGAAACATCAACATTCAACCACTAAATCTGATTTTCTTGTGCATGTCACTAGCTTTATGCTTTAGCTCAGACAGTGAAATTCCCCAACTCATCCTCCTGCTGTTCAGCTTTTTGTTGTGGCTGCATAGCAAAGCTCATGTTATCTTACTCCTTTGGAAAAGGCACTCTGAAAGTTCCTTTCCCCCTGTTAAAAACCGGACATGCTTATTGGCAGGCTGAAGCATATAATGCAGCCATGTATACATTTATTTCCAGTGTGAATGTCTTTA